>NW_015148968.1:0-145162 GCF_000001405.40 Homo sapiens
CATACTTGCATAGCATTTGGCTAGGTATAGAATTCTAGATTGGAAATATTTTCTCTCAGATTTTGAAGGTCTTCATTATCTTATAGCTTCAAAGGTTGGTGTTGAGAAGTCTGATGAATGTTGAATTCCTGAAGCTCAGACTTTTTTCTCTCTGGAAGTTTTTGGGTTCCACTCTGTCCTCAGTGTTGTGAAATTTCTTGACAACAAAATTGGGGCTGGGTCCCCTTCATTCATTGTCATGAACACTTGGTGTTTCCTTCTCTACTGGAAACTCATGTTCTTCCTCTGTGAGAACTTGTCTTGACAAAAAAGAAACGTATTTATTAGACATCTTTCCTTGCCTCCTAGTCTGTTGTCTCTGCTGCCTGTTTCAGAAACATCTAAACAACAATTTAGCTGTTGGAGCTCCTGACCTCTTCTCTGTTCTTTCTGGAAAATATTTTTTTCAAGTTTAGCTTCTATACTTTGATTAGATTTTGCATTCCTATTATTATATTTTTTATTTTTAAGGCAAGGTCTTTCTCTGTTGCCCAGGCTGGAGTGCAGTGGCACGATCACAGTTCACTGCAGCTTTGTTCCTGGACTCAAGTGATCCTCCCACCTCAGCCTCCCAAGCAGCTGGAACTACAGGTGTGTGCCACCACACCCAGCCAGTATTTTAATTTTTTGTAGAGATGGGGTCTCCTTAGGTGGCCCAGGCTGGTGTTGAATTCCTAGGCTCAAACAATCCTCCTGCCTTAGCCTCCCAAAATGCTGGGATTACAGGCATGAGCTAAGGCACCCAGACTATATTTTTGTCAAGAATTAGTGGTGGTGGGTGTTTGAACATTTTTATTTTAGACCCTCCTATTCTTATTTCATGAATGCAAAGTTTTATCTTTCTAAAGATATCAATTATAGATTTTTTTTTTAAGACAGTTTCACTCTTGTTGACCAGGCTGGAGTGCAATGATGCGATCTCGGCTCACTGCAGCCTCTGTCTCCCAGGTTCAAGCAATTCTCCTGCCTCAGCCTCCTGAGTAGCTGGGATTACAGGCACCCACCACCACGCCCAGCTAATTTTTTGTATTTTTAGTAGAGACGGGGTTTCACCATGTTGGCCAGGCTGGTCTCGAACATCTGACCTCAGGTGATCCACCCATCTCGGCCTCCCAAAGTGCTGGGATTACAGGCGTGAGCCACCCTGCCCAGCCCAATTATAGATTTTTTAGGTTTAGGTGTTGACAGTAGCTCTCACCTCAGCCTGTTCTCTCTCCTTGTCATGCAGCCCACAGGGGAGATGGTCAGGCCAGTGTGGGGGCTAATGAATAAATGCTACACTGTGCCCACTCAGGTGGGTAAGGGCTGGCACTCCTCTTCCCCTGGAGTGGGGCGGCTGTGCTGGCACCCTTGGCAGACACAGTAAGGGGGACTGCACCTGGAAAGGATGGGCCAGTCGGGGCAGGACTACTCATCACTCATAGTGTGGGTGTCAGGGTTGTGTCACCCCTCCCACCTCCCTCTGCAGAGACGCAAAGTCAAGAGTAGGAAGAAGCCAACCTCTGAGGTAAGGCTTCCCCTGGAAGGCCCAGGGCTGGGGCTCTCTCCTTTCAGAGCTCAGTTAGACCCAGACACACGGCAGGGAGTCCCAAGGGTAGTGGCAGGCCCCCTCCAGGAAACTCACAAGGTTACCACAGCTCAACTGAAAAGGAAGAACTTCCCAGGACTGTGACACCCCAGTGTGAGAACAGGAGGATGAGGTGCTCTGAAGGCCTTTCTGCCCAGTCTGCCCTCTTATTCCTCCTGCAGGTCACGACCCCCAGGAGACCTGGAGGACTGAATGCTGCTGCCCCCAAGGAGGAGGCTGCCGTCTTATCCCAGGAGGGAGAGCAGGTGAAGTCCCCAGGGGAGGAAGCACCTAGCCCCATTCCTGCTGAGCAGGAGGTGGCAGGTACCCCAGACTGGGAGGTAAGGACAGCCCGGGGCTTCGACTGAACGTCTCCAGCGTGGGTCCAACTGAGCAGCCATGGAGCACTGCAGAGTGGGAGGCAGCAGGGCAGGGAGGCAGTGCTGGAGGCTGGCTCAACCCCAAGACCAGCAGGCCAAGCTGCCATCCCAGGGGAGCGAGGACGTCTGTGCAGAGCTGAGAGGCAGCAGCCATGTGTGAACAGACTGGGCCTCATCCTGGCCCACCGACTTTGTGTGGACAGAGCCTGTTTCCCTGTCTGTGCAACACAGAACCTGCCTGATCTCACTGCTGGATCCCTCTTCTTCCTGCCAGGAAAATAAAAAGGTTCAAAAGGAAGTTGCTGCGTATCCATCTGGTAAGACCACTGACCCAGCGTGCTGCAGGGGGCTGCTTCCACCCTGCTTCTCAGTGACTGCCAGGGTCACAGACACCCCAGCCCTTTCCCACCTTCCTGACCTGGGGAGGGGAGGGGAGGGAAGCAGCCCAGGAGTCAGGTGCCTTGACCTTCCTGGGAGCCTCCTTGGGTGGGCAGGAACTCTGGGCCACTCCCCTGAGCTGGCTGCATCCCTACCTTTCACCACAGCTGACCTGGCCCCGGGGCATCTCAGAGGGAGGGTTGGTTGCTCCCAGGAGGGGACTCACAAGGCTGCCTGTTTCTACTTTGCAGAGGCCTCTGAGGACAGCAAAGAGCAAAGGCCCTGGGACCGGGTCTACGTGCCCATGACAGAGCTCTGGCTGGACTGGTTCTGAGCCTCTAACACCCCCAAGACTCAGAACCGTGAAGAAAATCTTTCCAATAAATCCAAGAGTTGCTGCTGCTATAGGCCAGGCTGCCACCTTTCGGGGCCTCCGTCTTCAGACAAACCCAGCCTGGCTTCATCCACACTCCCTGTCCCCACAGCTGCAGGAACAGCACTTCCTGCCACCGAGCCGTGTGACCACAGTGGATTGTCTCTGGAGGGGCCCAAGGGGGCCCTGGCCACCCTTCTGACTGACTCGGTGCCAGGGGACAGACCAACGTCCCTCTCGTGCTGACAGCCGGGCCGCACCCTGGCATGAGGGCATTTACAGAAATGCTGGCGGAACTGCTGCCAGGGAGGCTGTAGGGTCCTCTGGCAAAAGAGGCCTCAGGTGGCTCCTCAGAGTGTCTGTGGTTCTCTGTCCCAGGCTGTTCCCTAAGAAGGTCTGCCCAGGACTCAGGTAATCATATGCTCATTAGAAACTCTTGGGCACTGCCTGTGTGCCCAGCCCAGCCCATTATGTCGGTGAGGACAGACGTGGAGGACAGCAGTCCCTGCCCTTGGTTGGGGCTCCAGGCCAGCAAGGGCCACAGCCCCAGAAGGCAGAGCAGGAAGACAGGACTCGGGGCAGGTGAAGCAGCCTTCTCGTTGGCAGAAGGGAAACAGAAGCCCGGGGTGGGGAAGGGTGGGGAAGGGTGGGGAAGGGTGGGCCCGGGGTCACACGGGGTAATGGCAGAGCAAGGACTAGGGTCAGGGTCTCTGGCTCTCAGCTGCCCATGCCACCTCCTCCTTCTCTGCCCGCCCCAGTGCCTTATGGGTCCAAGGTTGACTCCTGTCCCTAGGGCAGGCCTGTGGGCCCTGCCTGATCCCTACTGGGAGGATGGTACCTAGGGTTGGAGCCAAACAAGTGTCCTCCTCCAGCGCCAGCCTGGCCCTGAGTGCGAACTCGTCACTGGTCAGGGGTCTGTACAGCAGCGTCCCTGAGGGCCCAGAGAGGTAGCCAGTCCTGTGGTGAGGTGACGAGGCTGAGGGCGGTGGCTCAGTCCTGGGCTTCCATGGGGCCTTCCCAGGGAACGTTCTGGCACCTGCCGACTGAGCCCTGGGAGGTAGGTAGCCCTGGCCTATAGCTCCCTGACGCCATGATTTGTCTTCCGTTTTGGGGTGTCATATATGAAGGGAGGTGACTGTTGTGATGGTGCTGGCAGGACTGCTGTCCCTGATGTGGGGTGGGCTGAGTTAGGCCTGAAATATGGGCCTCCAGGCTGAGTCCTGCCCTCTCCACCACATCCAGGGCTGACTGACACCTCTAGTCAGCCCATTCTGGCCCCTTCCCCACATGCCAGGACAATGTAGTCCTTGTCACCAATCTGGGCAGTCAGAGTTGGGTCAGTGGGGGACATGGGATTATGGGCAAGGGTAACTGACATCTGCTCAGCCTCAACATACCCCTGTCTCAAATGCGGCCAGGCGGTGGGGTAAGCAGGAATGAGGCAGGGGTGGGGTTGCCCTGAGGAGGATGATCCCAACGAGGGCGTGAGCAGGGGACCCGAGTTGGAACTACCACATTGCTTTATTGTACATTAGAGCCTCTGGCTAGGGAGCAGGCTGGGGACTAGGTACCCCATTCTAGCGGGGCACAGCACAAAGCTCATAGGGGGATGGGGTCACCAGGAAAGCAAAGACACCATGGTGGCTGGGCCGGGGCTGTCCAGTGGGCACCGAGAAGCTGAAGTGCTGCAGCAGGGAGGTGAAGAAGAGGAAGAGCTCCATGCGGGCCAGGGGCTCCCCGAGGCATGCACGGCGGCCTGTGGGGAGGGGAGGGGCGTCAGTGAGCCTGGCTCCTGGGTGATACCCCTGCAAGACTCCACGGAAGGGGACAGGGAGCCGGGCTCCCCACAGGCACCTGCTGAGAAAGGCAGGAAGGCCTCCGGCTTCACAAAGTGGCCCTGGGCATCCAGGAAGTGTTCGGGGTGGAAGCGGAAGGGCTTCTCCCAGACGGCCTCATCCTTCAGCACCGATGACAGGTTGGTGATGAGTGTCGTTCCCTGGGCAGGAGATGCAGGGTGAGAGTGGGGACTGGACTCTAGGATGCTGGGACCCCTGCCACCAAACACACGGGGGACACACACTGCCTGGCACACAGCTGGACTCTGTCAACTAGTCCTGCGCCCGAGAAGCTCCACAGTACCCTCTCCGACCCCACAGCAGGGCGCAGTCACACCTCTCAGAGGCACCCACACTGCCCCCTCTCCCTGCAGGCGCTGGGTCCTCCAACATTCTGGCAGGTCCTGGTTTGTCTCCCCACTAGACGGGGGCTCTGGATGGACAGGCCAGCCCTGCCTATACTCTGGACCCCCCACCCAAGTGGGGACAGTCAGTGTGGTGGCATTGAGGACTAGGTGGCCAGGGTTCCTAGAGTGGGCCCACCTGGCAGTAGCCATGCTGGGGCTATCACCAGGGGCTGGTGCTGAGCTGGGGTGAGGAGGGCGCCAGGCCTACCTTAGGGATGCGGAAGCCCTGTACTTCGATGTCACGGGATGTCATATGGGTCACACCCAGGGGGACGATGTCCCCAAAGCGCTGCACCTCATGAATCACGGCAGTGGTGTAGGGCATGTGAGCCTGGTCACCCATCTCTGGTCGCCGCACCTGCCCTATCACGTCGTCGATCTCCTGTTGGACACGGCCTGGACAGACATGCGTCCCCACAATGGGTCAGCACCCAGGGGGTCCGGCCCTGACACTCCTTCTTGCCTCCTATGTTGGAGGAGGTCAGGCTTACAGGATCCTGGTCAAGCCTGTGCTTGGAGCCCCGGGTGTCCCAGCAAAGTTCATGGGCCCCCGCCTGTACCCTTCCTCCCTCGGCCCCTGCACTGTTTCCCAGATGGGCTCACGCTGCACATCCGGATGTAGGATCATGAGCAGGAGGCCCCAGGCCAGCGTGGTCGAGGTGGTCACCATCCCGGCAGAGAACAGGTCAGCCACCACTATGCGCAGGTTCTCATCATTGAAGCTGCTCTCAGGGTTCCCCTTGGCCTGAGCAGGGCCGAGAGCATACTCGGGACAGAACGGGGTAGCCCCCAAATGACCTCCAATTCTGCACCTGTCAGCCCAGATGCGGCTCGCCGGGTGATGCACTGGTCCAACCTTTTGCCCAGCCTCCCCTCATTCCTCCTGGGACGCTCAACCCACCACCCTTGCCCCCCACCGTGGCAGCCACTCTCACCTTCTCCATCTCTGCCAGGAAGGCCTCAGTCAGGTCTCGGGGGGGCTGGGCTGGGTCCCAGGTCATCCTGTGCTCAGTTAGCAGCTCATCCAGCTGGGTCAGGAAAGCCTTTTGGAAGCGTAGGACCTTGCCAGCCAGCGCTGGGATATGCAGGAGGACGGGGACAGCATTCAGCACCTACACCAGACAGAACGGGGTCTCAATCCCTCCTGTGCTCTGCGTTCACCTGGACAAGTCTCAGGCCCCAGCCATCTCCAGGTAGACCCAGGGCCTGCCTGTCCTTACCACTGACCTCACCAAGTCCCTCCCCAAGTGCCAGCCTCCACCCTCTCTCCTTGCCCAGAGGAGAAACCTAAAATCGAAATCTCTGACGTGGATAGGAGGTACAGAGTCCTTGGCCTCTCCTGGTGCCCCCTGACCCGGGCACACCTCTCCCACGACCATGTCTGAGATGTCCCCTCCTCCTCCAGGCCCTTCTTACAGTGGGGTCTCCTGGAATGTCCTTTCCCAAACCCATCTACGCAAATCCTGCTCTTCCGAGGCCCCAGTCCAGCCCCGGCACCTCTCGGGAGCTCGCCCTGCAGAGACTCCTCGGTCTCTCGCTCCGCACCTCGCGCAGAAAGCCCGACTCCTCCTTCAGTCCCTCCTGAGCTAGGTCCAGCAGCCTGAGGAAGCGAGGGTCGTCGTACTCGAAGCGGCGCCCGCAGGTGAGGGAGGCGATCACGTTGCTCACGGCTTTGTCCAAGAGACCGTTGGGGCGAAAGGGGCGTCTTGGGGGTGGGAGATGCGGGTAAGGGGTCGCCTTCCCCGTCCCCCGCCTTCCCAGTTCCCGCTTTGTGCCCTTCTGCCCATCACCCACCGGAGTGGTTGGCGAAGGCGGCACAAAGGCAGGCGGCCTCCTCGGTCACCCACTGCTCCAGCGACTTCTTGCCCAGGCCCAAGTTGCGCAAGGTGGAGACGGAGAAGCGCCTCTGCTCGCGCCACGCGGGCCCATAGCGCGCCAGGAACACCCCTGGGGGTGGGACGGGCACGTGCGCGTGGCCATGAAGGCATTAGCCCCACCATCCACCACCCACTCCAACCCTATGCTCCCCCTGGTCTCCCGCAGTCCCTGGCTCTGTCCAGCTGGTCACAGGGCCCACTCTTTGTGCATCCACCTTGCTCCCTTGGCTGGGGCAGGGCTTTGCCCCACCTCGTCTCTGCCCACCCTGACCGCCTTTGCACTCAGGGAAGACCCCGCGGGCCCCGCGCCACCCACACTGAGCTTACAGCACAGGTGCGGTCCCCGCCCCCCACTTCGACACCGGATTCCAGCTGGGAAATGCGCCAGCCTCACCCATTGGGCTCCTGCCAGGTCTCGGCAGTGGCCCCGCCCACTCGTCACAAGCCCCGCCCTCGTCCCCATGCTCACACCTCCCTAGTGCAGGTGGTTTCTTGGCCCGCTGTCCCCACTCGCTGGCCTGTTTCATGTCCACGACCCCGCGCCCTCTCTGCCCAGCTCGGACTACGGTCATCACCCACCCGGGTCCCACGGAAATCTGTCTCTGTCCCCACCGCTGCTTGCCTTGGGAACGCGGCCCGAAACCCAGGATCTGGGTGATGGGCACAGGCGGGCGGTCGGCCGTGTCCTCGCCGCGGGTCACCATCGCCTCGCGCACGGCCGCCAGCCCATTGAGCACGACCACCGGCGTCCAGGCCAGCTGCAGGCTGAACACGTCCCCGAAGCGGCGCCGCAACTGCAGAGGGAGGGTCAGGGCCTCTTGTCAAGCCAGGATCCCCCCAGACTACAGGTCCTAGTCCTATTTGAACCTTGGACGACCCCCGGGGCTACCAGGAGTGAGCAGGTGGAAGGAGGAGACCCAGCCTCCTGATCCTGGGGCGGGGGTGGGGGTCACACCTTCTGTGATGGAGGAACTCAGTTTGGATGCGTCACCCAGGTATGACCTTGCAAGAGTCACCAAAATTGCCGAGAGGCCCCAGTTAGCATCCCATTCCCAGATGATGGTCCATGCCGGTGAGCAGTGAGGCCCGAGGACCCACAGTGCAAAAGGTTTGAACCGGGTCACTGCACCCCCTTCATCCTCGATTTCGTGATTTAAACGGCACTCAGGACTAACTCATCTTCCATTCCCAAGGCCTTTCCTTCTGGTGTCAGCAGAAGGGACTTTGTACTCCATAACATATGTTGCCCAATGGGCTTGCATGCCCACTGCCAAGTCCAGCTCCACCTCCAGGCCCTTGCCCTACTCTTCCTTGGCCTTTGGAAAATCCAGTCCTTCATGCCATGTATAAATGCCCTTCTCCAGGAAGTCCCCCAAACCTGCTTCCCCTTCTCAGCCTGGCTTCTGGTCCAGCCTGTGGTTTCACCCACCATCCATGTTTGCTTCTGGTAGGGGAGCCTCAGCACCTCTGCCGCCCTCCAGGACCTCCTCCCTCACCTGGTCGAAGCAGTATGGTGTGTTCTGGAAGTCCACATGCAGCAGGTTGCCCAGCCCGGGCAGTGGCAGGGGGCCTGGTGAGTAGCGTGCAGCCCAGCGTTGGCGCCGGTGCATCAGGTCCACCAGGAGCAGGAAGATGGCCACTATCACGGCCAGGGGCACCAGTGCTTCTAGCCCCATACCTGCCTCACTACCAAATGGGCTCCTCTGGACACACCTGGCACCCCCACCCCACCAGGCACAGAGGACCAGGCAGGACACTCTCAGCACACCGAGCGCGTGACCCTTCCCTTATAAAGGGAGCTGATGATGGCCTTTGCCCTCTGCTGTGAGTGAACCTGCTGTGTTGACTGTGCTGCCAGTGGCAGAGTCAGGCCAGGGCGGGTATGGGCTGCTCCAGAGGTTCTTGCCCCTGCTTCCTGCTCCAGGCCCTTACCCAGGGTAGGCCGGTGGAGGGGCCTGGTCGGAGAAGTCACCCCCTCTCCCCACTCCAAGCTCCTGAAGCCTGCAAAGCCTTCTGGGATAACCAGGGTTTCAGTGGACCCGGCCATCCACCTCCCAGCTAGGCTCATACACCCTAATGTAGTCACAACCCCTCCTCCAGAACATGGCCTTGCCCTTTCCCTACCCCCACCTGCCCACTCCAGAGTGACCTTCAGCACCCTTATCTGTCACTGGCACTTACCTGGGGCCTTAGAGCTCCTGATGATGAGTGGCATCATGGGCCTGGTCCCTTCACTTCACCTTGCACTCTTGACATGCACAGACGCTATGCACACACCTGATGGTGCACAGATCTCTTGTCCACTCCCAGACACTTGTCCACTTGTTCACACTTGCAGGGACACGATTACACACGCAGAAAATCACCCACACAAAGACAATATTCACACATACACAGACTCACACTGACACTTAGGGCACACATTCTCTCTCACACACACCAGTCACACACACATACAGACCCGGCACCAAGTACCCCACTTCCCAGCCATGCCGGAGGTTTCCTGGATGGGACCACTCCTGTCCAGAGGCTGCTCCCAGCCCAGCCCACATTCCTGGGCTCTGGCCGGGCTATGGCTTCTTGTTTGCAACAGGGCTGTTCCCAGAGCTCCCAGTTGGTAGCCGGAAGGCCCTTGCCCCAGCCTGTGACAACATCCTCCCGGGCTGCCTGAGGGTTGTCCTCCTCCACTGCTTTCTGGCCTCCATGTTTCTGATTAGAAATCTGGTGGGAACGTTATGGAGGATCCTTTGTTCAGGATATGTTGCTTTATTTTTTTTTTCTTTAGACAGGGTCTCACTCTGTTGCCCAGGCCGGAGTGCAGTGGCAGGATCATGGCTCACTGCAGTCTCGACATCAAGTGGACCCCCTGCCTCCCAAGTAGCTGGGACTACAGGCACCACCCAGCCTAATCCTTTTTTTTTTTTTTTTTTTTTTTTGGAGACGGAGATTTCCTCTTGTTGCCCAGGCTGGTGGCTCCCCTCCATTGTGCAATGATGCAATCTCGGCTCACTACAACCTTCACCTCTAGGCTTCAAGCAATTCTCCTGCCTCAGCCTCCTAAGTAGCTGGGATTACAGGTGTGTGCCACCACGTCTAGCTTTTTATATTTTCAGTAGAGATAGGGTTTCACCATGTTGGCCAGGCTAGTCTTGAACTCCTGACTTCAGGTGATCCACCCACCTCAGGCTCCCAAAGTGCTGGGATTATAGGCATGAGCCACCGCACCCAATCCCAGCTAATTTTGTATTTTTTGTAGAGACCGGGTTCTTCCAAGTTGTCCAGGCTGGTCTTGAATTCCTGGGGTGAAGCGATCCTCCCACCTGGGCCTCCCAAAGTGCTGGGATTACAGGCCTGAGCCACTGTGACTACCTGATACGTCTCTTCTCTCTTGCTGCTTTCAAAATCCTGTCTTTTGTGGGAGGGCAGCTGCCGAGCTCTGGACTTCTACGGGATCATCCACTGAGGACAGGAGGACCGGGCCCTCTACAGGTGGATTGTATGGCAGCTGCCATGCTTGGAGCCAGTGCTCACCGAGCACGTGGCGGCTGTGGAGCTGGACGCGGGGTTGATAAGTCCGCTGGGGGTGACGGGCTCATCCATGAGTGGTACTTGATGTGGCTGCAGAAGGCGGATGTGGTGGTGGCAGAAGTGACACAACTGTCCCTGGGTATAGGCTATGATCTGTGCCAGGCCACAGCCCTCAATAAGTGAATCCTGTGCCTGCTCCAGCAGCAGTCCGGTGGAGTGCTGTCGGCCATGATCTGGGAAGAGGCAGATGGCTCTGGGTTCCAGGTGTGGGACTACGGAGAGGGACAGGTGGAGGCCCTGCTGCATGGATAGGTTGAGGCTGATCCTTCCGAGCAGGTTGCCTCCCCTAACCCAACCATTGGACCTAATCCCATTTTATTAAATTCTTCTCATCCCAGACACTGCTCTAGTACCAGTCCTGGCTCTTTGCCCCAGGAGCAAATTAAAAGGTACATTTAAAATTCTAAAAAAAGAAAAATCTGTCTTTTGACAGTGATTATGATGATGCGTATGGCTGAAGATCTCTTTGAGTTTACCCTACTTGGAGTTTGATGAGCTTTTTGGATGTACGGATTAATATTTTTCATCAGATTTGGGAGGTTTTTCAGCCATTAATTCTTCAACTATTCCTTTACTCCTTTCTCCCTGTCTTCTTTCCTGGGACTCCCATTGTGTGTATGTCGGAAAGCTTGACGGCGTCTCCAGGTCTCTGGATCTCTGTGCATTGCTCTTCATGCTTGTTCCTGTTCCTCAGAGGGGACTACCTCAGGTGGCCTCTCTCCATAGTCACAGGCTCTTTCTTCCAATTGTTCCAATCTGCTCTTGGGCCCCTGGGATGAATTTTCATTTATTTTACCCTACAACTCCAGAATTTTTATTTGGTTCCTTTTTAAACTTTTTTTTTGTTTTTTGTTTTGTTTTGTTTTTTGGAGTATCGCTCTGTCACCCAGGCTGTAGTGCAGTGGTGCAATCTCGGCTCACTGCAATCTCTGCCTCTCGGGTTCAAGCGATTCTCCTGCCTCAGCCTCCCGAGTAGCTGGGATTACAGGCACGTGCCACCACGCCCGGCTAATTTTTGTATTTTAAGTAGAGACGGGGTTTCACCATGTTGGCCAGGCTGGTCTCAATCTCTTGACCTCATGATATGCCCGCCTCAGCCTCCCAAAGTGCTGGGATTATAGGCATGAGCCACCATGCCCAGCCCCTTTTTATAAGGTTCATCCCATTATTGATATTCTCTAATTGGTGAGACATTGTTCCCACACTTTCGTTAGTTCTTTTGACATGGTTCTTTTCTTTTTCTTGGGAGAGGGTCTCTCTGTCGCCCAAGCTGGAGTGCAGTGATGCAGTCATGGCTCACTGCAGCCTCAACTTCCTGGGCTGAAGTGATCCTCCTACCTCAGCATCCTGAGAGGCTGGGACCATAGGCAGCCAGCTAATTTTTTAAATTTTTTGTAGAGATGGGGGTCTCACCACATTTCCCAAGCTGCTCTCAAACTCCTGGGCTCAAGCAATCCACGGGCCTCAGCTTCCCAGAGTGCTAGGATTATAGGTGTGAGCCACTGCACCAGGCCTACACGTGGTTTCTCCCTTTGAAGTACTAGCCAGGCCTGACCATGCTTAGCTTCCGAGATCAGCAGGTTCCAGCCGGTGCAGCCTCAGATGCAGCATGTTTTAGGTCTTTGAACATATTTAAATGAGCTGACTGAACGTCTTTGTCTAGCAATTGCAGCATCGGGCTGGTCCCATTGGTGACTTTTCCCGTGTCTGGGTCGTCCTTTCGGTTTCCTTTCCATGTCTCATAATTTGTTAAAACCTGGACATTTCACGGGCGATAATGTGGCAACTCCGGAAGTCAGATTCTCTTCCCTGCCAAGGATGTGTTGTTGTTGTTGCCTGTTGGAGCTGTTTCTTTGCTGGGTGACTTTTCTGAACTAATTCTGACTAAGCATTAATGTCTCCATTCCCTGCGAGCTGTGGCCACTGAAGCCGCTCTTCAGTTACGGCAGTGGTCAGCTAATGACTGGTCAGAGAGTTCCTTAGGTGCCTGGAAGCGAAGTCTTTGCCGAGTGGGTCTCTCTCTGTGTGCCGGGCGTGGCTTCAGTGCTCGGCTAGGCAGTGCTCAACTTTCCCTTAGCCGTCACCTGCTGTCTGCACAGCACCTCAGGTCAGTCACGGGTGAGGGCTCAGGGCCTTGCCGGCCTTCCTGAATATGGGCACAGCTGCAGACAGCCTTACCCACGTGCAGGGCACCTAGATTCCCAAGAAGGGGCAAGAGCTGTTCAAAACCACTACAAGCTGGACATGGTGGCTCACACCTGTAGTGTCAGTGACTCAGAAGGCTGTAATGGGAGGATGACTTGAGGCCAGGAGTTTGAGACCTAGCAAGACCCCATCCCCCACCCAAAAAAACAAAAACAACAACAAAAACTCACTGTGGACCGCTCATGCCCCAGCTGCTGCTTTTTAACCCCAGCTGTTATCCATCACCACAGGCAGCTTCGATTTTCAATCATGGATCTGATGACTTTCAACAAACTTTCCTGAGGAAAGTGCTGTTCCCACCAGAAGAGATCTCAGGACAAATGTAGACAGCCCTGGCAAGTGGGGTCTCCCTGGGAGCTAGCAGACAGGTGAAAGACTGACAGTTCTTGGGGAATTAGGCTTTTCTTTTGTTTTGGAGATGGCGTTTCATACTTATCACCCAGACTGGAGTGCAATGGTGTGATCTCGGCTCACTGCAACCTCTGCCTCCCAGGTTCAAGCAATTCTCCTGCCTCAGCCTCCTGAGTAGCTGGGATTACAGGCACCCACCACCACGCCCAGCTAATTTTTTGTATTTTTAGTAGAGACGGGGTTTCACCATGTTGGCCAGGCTGGTCTCGAACATCTGACCTCAGGTGATCCACCCATCTCGGCCTCCCAAAGTGCTGGGATTACAGGCGTGAGCCACCCTGCCCAGCCCAATTATAGATTTTTTAGGTTTAGGTGTTGACAGTAGCTCTCACCTCAGCCTGTTCTCTCTCCTTGTCATGCAGCCCACAGGGGAGATGGTCAGGCCAGTGTGGGGGCTAATGAATAAATGCTACACTGTGCCCACTCAGGTGGGTAAGGGCTGGCACTCCTCTTCCCCTGGAGTGGGGCGGCTGTGCTGGCACCCTTGGCAGACACAGTAAGGGGGACTGCACCTGGAAAGGATGGGCCAGTCGGGGCAGGACTACTCATCACTCATAGTGTGGGTGTCAGGGTTGTGTCACCCCTCCCACCTCCCTCTGCAGAGACGCAAAGTCAAGAGTAGGAAGAAGCCAACCTCTGAGGTAAGGCTTCCCCTGGAAGGCCCAGGGCTGGGGCTCTCTCCTTTCAGAGCTCAGTTAGACCCAGACACACGGCAGGGAGTCCCAAGGGTAGTGGCAGGCCCCCTCCAGGAAACTCACAAGGTTACCACAGCTCAACTGAAAAGGAAGAACTTCCCAGGACTGTGACACCCCAGTGTGAGAACAGGAGGATGAGGTGCTCTGAAGGCCTTTCTGCCCAGTCTGCCCTCTTATTCCTCCTGCAGGTCACGACCCCCAGGAGACCTGGAGGACTGAATGCTGCTGCCCCCAAGGAGGAGGCTGCCGTCTTATCCCAGGAGGGAGAGCAGGTGAAGTCCCCAGGGGAGGAAGCACCTAGCCCCATTCCTGCTGAGCAGGAGGTGGCAGGTACCCCAGACTGGGAGGTAAGGACAGCCCGGGGCTTCGACTGAACGTCTCCAGCGTGGGTCCAACTGAGCAGCCATGGAGCACTGCAGAGTGGGAGGCAGCAGGGCAGGGAGGCAGTGCTGGAGGCTGGCTCAACCCCAAGACCAGCAGGCCAAGCTGCCATCCCAGGGGAGCGAGGACGTCTGTGCAGAGCTGAGAGGCAGCAGCCATGTGTGAACAGACTGGGCCTCATCCTGGCCCCACCGACTTTGTGTGGACAGAGCCTGTTTCCCTGTCTGTGCAACACAGAACCTGCCTGATCTCACTGCTGGATCCCTCTTCTTCCTGCCAGGAAAATAAAAAGGTTCAAAAGGAAGTTGCTGCGTATCCATCTGGTAAGACCATTGACCCAGCGTGCTGCAGGGGGCTGCTTCCACCCTGCTTCTCAGTGACTGCCAGGGTCACAGACACCCCAGCCCTTTCCCACCTTCCTGACCTGGGGAGGGGAGGGGAGGGAAGCAGCCCAGGAGTCAGGTGCCTTGACCTTCCTGGGAGCCTCCTTGGGTGGGCAGGAACTCTGGGCCACTCCCCTGAGCTGGCTGCATCCCTACCTTTCACCACAGCTGACCTGGCCCCGGGGCATCTCAGAGGGAGGGTTGGTTGCTCCCAGGAGGGGACTCACAAGGCTGCCTGTTTCTACTTTGCAGAGGCCTCTGAGGACAGCAAAGAGCAAAGGCCCTGGGACCGGGTCTACGTGCCCATGACAGAGCTCTGGCTGGACTGGTTCTGAGCCTCTAACACCCCCAAGACTCAGAACCGTGAAGAAAATCTTTCCAATAAATCCAAGAGTTGCTGCTGCTATAGGCCAGGCTGCCACCTTTCGGGGCCTCCGTCTTCAGACAAACCCAGCCTGGCTTCATCCACACTCCCTGTCCCCACAGCTGCAGGAACAGCACTTCCTGCCACCGAGCCGTGTGACCACAGTGGATTGTCTCTGGAGGGGCCCAAGGGGGCCCTGGCCACCCTTCTGACTGACTCGGTGCCAGGGGACAGACCAACGTCCCTCTCGTGCTGACAGCCGGGCCGCACCCTGGCATGAGGGCATTTACAGAAATGCTGGCGGAACTGCTGCCAGGGAGGCTGTAGGGTCCTCTGGCAAAAGAGGCCTCAGGTGGCTCCTCAGAGTGTCTGTGGTTCTCTGTCCCAGGCTGTTCCCTAAGAAGGTCTGCCCAGGACTCAGGTAATCATATGCTCATTAGAAACTCTTGGGCACTGCCTGTGTGCCCAGCCCAGCCCATTATGTCGGTGAGGACAGATGTGGAGGACAGCAGTCCCTGCCCTTGGTTGGGGCTCCAGGCCAGCAAGGGCCACAGCCCCAGAAGGCAGAGCAGGAAGACAGGACTCGGGGCAGGTGAAGCAGCCTTCTCGTTGGCAGAAGGGAAACAGAAGCCCGGGGTGGGGAAGGGTGGGGAAGGGTGGGGAAGGGTGGGCCCGGGGTCACACGGGGTAATGGCAGAGCAAGGACTAGGGTCAGGGTCTCTGGCTCTCAGCTGCCCATGCCACCTCCTCCTTCTCTGCCCGCCCCAGTGCCTTATGGGTCCAAGGTTGACTCCTGTCCCTAGGGCAGGCCTGTGGGCCCTGCCTGATCCCTACTGGGAGGATGGTACCTAGGGTTGGAGCCAAACAAGTGTCCTCCTCCAGCGCCAGCCTGGCCCTGAGTGCGAACTCGTCACTGGTCAGGGGTCCAGACAGCAGCATCCCTGAGGGCCCAGAGAGGTGGCCAGTCCTGTGGTGAGGTTGAGAGGTGTCAACGTGCTGGCGGTCCTCGCTCGCTCTCAGCGCCTCCTCGGCCTCAGCTTCTGCTCTGACCACACTTGAGGAGCCCTTCAGCCCAGCGCTGCACTGTGGGAGCCCCTCTCTGGACTGGTGGAGGCTGGAGCCGGCTCCGTCTGCTTGCGGGGAGGTATGGAGGGAGAGGCGTGTGCGGGAACCTGGGTTGCTCGCGGGCCAGCACCAGTTCTGGGTGGGCAGGGGCTCAGCGGGCCCTGCACTCGGAGCGGCCGGCTGGTGCCTCTGGCCCCAGGCAGTGAGGGGCTTAGCACCTGGGCCAGCAGCTGCAGAGGGGGCACCGGGTCCCCCAGTACTGCTGGCCTGCCGGCGCTCACCACACTTGAATTGTCGCCAGGCCTCAGTCACCTCCCCGCGGGGCAGGGCTCAGGACTTGCAGCCTGCCATGCCCAAGCCTCCCTACGGTGGGCTCCCTGCGAGGCCCAAGCCTCCCGGATGGGTGCCTCCCACTGCTCCACGGCACCTGGTCCCGTCCACTGCCCAAGGGCTGAGGAGTACAGGTGCCTGGTGTGGGACTAGCAGGCAGCTCTGCCTGTGGCCCTGGCATAGGATCCACTAGGCGAAGCTGGCTGGGCTCCTGAGTCAGGTGGGGACTTGGAGAACTTTTATGTCTAGCCAGAGGATTGTATATGCACCAATCAGCACTCTGTGTCTAGCTCCGGGTTCGTGCATGCACCAATTAGCACTCTGTATCTAGCTAATCTGGTGGGGACTTGGGGAACCTTTATTTCTAGCTAAAAGATTGTAAATACACCAATCAGCACTCTGTGTCTAGCTCAGGGTTTGTAAACACACCAGTCAGCACCCTGTGTCTAACTCAAGGTTTGTAAACGCACCAATCAGTGCTCTCTGTCTACTCTATCTAGCTAATCTAGTGGGGACTGGGACAACCTTTATGTCTAGCTAAGGGATTGTAAATACACCATTCAGCACTCTGTGTCTAGCTCAAGGTTTGTAAATATACCAATCAGTACTCTGTGTCTAGCTCAGGGATTGTAAATGCACCAATCAGCTCTCTGTAAGTGGACCAATCCACTGTCTGTAAAATGGGCCAATCAGCAGGATGTGGGTGGGGGTCAGATAAGGGAATAAAAGCAGGCTGCCTGAAGTAGCAGCGGCAACCTGGTTGCCATCATTCTTTTGCTGTTTGCAGTAAGTCTTGCTGCTGCTGCTCCCTCATTGGGTCCACACTGCCTTTATGAGTTGTAACACTGGAAGGACTGCAGTTTCACTCCTGAGGCCAGTGAGACCACAAACCCACCAGGAAGAATGAACAACTCCGTATGTGCAGCCTTAAGAGCCGTAACACTCACTGTGAAGGTCTGCAGCTTCACTCCTGAAGCCAGCAAGACCACGCACCCACCAGAAGGAAGAAACTCTGAACACGTCTTAACATCAGAAGGAACAAACTCTGAACACACCATCTTTAAGAACTGTAACACTCACCGTGAGGGTCCACAGCTTCATTCTTGAAGTCAGTGAGACCAAGAACCCACCAATTTTGGACACAAGGTGACAGGCTGAGGGCGGTGGCTCGGTCCTGGGTTTTCCTGGGGCCTTCCCAGGGAATGTTCTGGCACCTGCCGACTGAGCCCTGGGAGGTAGCCCTGGCATATAGCTCCCTGACATGATTTGTCTTCCATTTTGGGGTGTCATATATGAAGGGAGGTGACTGTTGTGATGGTGCTGGCAGGACTGCTGTCCCTGATGTGGGGTGGGCTGAGTTAGGCCTGAAATATGGGCCTCCAGGCTGAGTCCTGCCCTCTCCACCACATCCAGGGCTGACTGACACCTCTAGTCAGCCCATTCTGGCCCCTTCCCCACATGCCAGGACAATGTAGTCCTTGTCACCAATCTGGGCAGTCAGAGTTGGGTCAGTGGGGGACACGGGATTATGGGCAAGGGTAACTGACATCTGCTCAGCCTCAACGTACCCGTCTCAAATGCGGCCAGGCGGTGGGGTAAGCAGGAATGAGGCAGGGGTGGGGTTGCCCTGAGGAGGATGATCCCAACGAGGGCGTGAGCAGGGGACCCGAGTTGGAACTACCACATTGCTTTATTGTACATTAGAGCCTCTGGCTAGGGAACAGGCTGGGGACTAGGTACCCCATTCTAGCGGGGCACAGCACAAAGCTCATAGGGGGATGGGGTCACCAGAAAGCTGACGACACGAGAGTGGCTGGGCCGGGGCTGTCCGGCGGCCACGGAGAAGCTGAAGTGCTGCAGCAGGGAGGTGAAGAAGAGGAAGAGCTCCATGCGGGCCAGGGGCTCCCCGAGGCATGCACGGCGGCCTGTGGGGAGGGGAGGGGCGTCAGTGAGCCTGGCTCCTGGGTGATACCCCTGCAAGACTCCACGGAAGGGGACAGGGAGCCGGGCTCCCCACAGGCACCTGCTGAGAAAGGCAGGAAGGCCTCCGGCTTCACAAAGTGGCCCTGGGCATCCAGGAAGTGTTCGGGGTGGAAGCGGAAGGGCTTCTCCCAGACGGCCTCATCCTTCAGCACCGATGACAGGTTGGTGATGAGTGTCGTTCCCTGGGCAGGAGATGCAGGGTGAGAGTGGGGACTGGACTCTAGGATGCTGGGACCCCTGCCACCAAACACACGGGGGACACACACTGCCTGGCACACAGCTGGACTCTGTCAACTAGTCCTGCGCCCGAGAAGCTCCACAGTACCCTCTCCGACCCCACAGCAGGGCGCAGTCACACCTCTCAGAGGCACCCACACTGCCCCCTCTCCCTGCAGGCGCTGGGTCCTCCAACATTCTGGCAGGTCCTGGTTTGTCTCCCCACTAGACGGGGGCTCTGGATGGACAGGCCAGCCCTGCCTATACTCTGGACCCCCCACCCAAGTGGGGACAGTCAGTGTGGTGGCATTGAGGACTAGGTGGCCAGGGTTCCTAGAGTGGGCCCACCTGGCAGTAGCCATGCTGGGGCTATCACCAGGGGCTGGTGCTGAGCTGGGGTGAGGAGGGCGCCAGGCCTACCTTAGGGATGCGGAAGCCCTGTACTTCGATGTCACGGGATGTCATATGGGTCACACCCAGGGGGACGATGTCCCCAAAGTGCTGCACCTCATGAATCACGGCAGTGGTGTAGGGCATGTGAGCCTGGTCACCCATCTCTGGTCGCCGCACCTGCCCTATCACGTCGTCGATCTCCTGTTGGACACGGACTGGACAGACATGCGTCCCCACAATGGGTCAGCACCCAGGGGACACTCTCCTTCCTCCTGTGTTGGAGGAAGTTAGGCTTACAGGAGCCTGGCCACGCCTGTGCTGGAAGCCCCGGGTGTCCCAGCTAAGCCCAGGGGCCCCCAGCTGTACCCTTCCTCCCTCAGTCCCTGCCTTGGGCCCCAGCTGGGCTCACGCTGCACATCCAGGTGTAGGATCATGAGCAGGAGGCCCCAGGCCAGCGTGGTCAAGGTGGTCACCATCCCGGCAAGGAACAGGTTACCCACCACTATGCGCAGGTTCTCATCATTGAAGCTGCTCTCAGGGCTCCCCTTGGCCTGAGCAGGGCCGAGAGGATACTCAGGGGATAGAACGGGGTAGCCCCCAAATGACCTCCAATTCTGCACCTGTCAGCCCAGATGCGGCTCGCCGGGTGATGCACTGGTCCAACCTTTTGCCCAGCCTCCCCTCATTCCTCCTGGGACGTTCAACCCACCACCCTTGCCCCCCACCGTGGCAGCCACTCTCACCTTCTCCTTCTTTGCCAGGAAGGCCTCAGTCAGGTCTCGGGGTGGCTGGGCTGGGTCCCAGGTCATCCTGTGCTCAGTTAGCAGCTCATCCAGCTGGGTCAGGAAAGCCTTTTGGAAGCGTAGGACCTTGCCAGCCAGCGCTGGGATGTGCGGGAGGACGGGGACAGCATTCAGCACCTACACCAGACAGAACCGGGTCTCAATCCTTCCTGTGCTCTGCGTTCATCTGGACCAGTCTCAGGCCCCAGCCATCTCCAGGAAGACCCAGGGCCTGCCTGTCCTTACCACTGACCTCACCAAGTCCCTCCCCAAGTGCCAGCCTCCACCCTCTCTCTCCTTGCCCAGAGGAGAAACCTAAAATCGAAATCTCCAACGTGGACGGGGGTACAGAGTCCTTGGCCTCTCCTGGTGCCCCCTGACCCGGGCACACCTCTCCCACGACCATGTCTGAGATGTCCCCTCCTCCTCCAGGCCCTTCTTACAGTGGGGTCTCCTGGAATGTCCTTTCCCAAACCCATCTACGCAAATCCTGCCCTTCGGAGGCCCCAGTCCAGCCCCGGCACCTCTCAGGAGCTCGCCCTGCAAAGACCCTTGCTCCGCACCTCGCGCAGGAAGCCCGACTCCTCCTTCGATCCCTCCCTGAGCTAGGTCCAGCAGCCTGAGGAAGCGAGGGTCGTCGTACTCGAAGCGGCGCCCGCAGGTGAGGGAGGCGATCACGTTGCTCACGGCTTTGTCCAAGAGACCGTTGGGGCGAAAGGGGCGTCCTGGGGGTGGGAGATGCGGGTAAGGGGTCGCCTTCTCCGTCCCCCGCCTTCCCAGTTCCCGCTGTGTGCCCTTCTGCCCATCACCCACCGGCTTGGTCGGCGAAGGCGGCACAAAGGCAGGCGGCCTCCTCGGTCACCCACTGCTCCAGCGACTTCTTGCCCAGGCCCAAGTTGCGCAAGGTGGACACGGAGAAGCGCCTCTGCTCGCGCCACGCGGGCCCATAGCGCGACAGGATCACCCCTGTGGGCGGGACGGACACGTGGGCGTTGCCATGAAGGCCTTGGCCCCACCCTCCGCCACCCACTCCAACCCTGGCGCTCCACAAGGTCTCCCGCAGTCCCTAGCCCGGTCCAGCTGGGCACAGGGCCCACTCTTTGCTCACCCACATTGCTCCCCTGCCTGGGGCGGGGTTTGGCCCCACCTCGTCTCTGCCCACCCTGACCACCTTTCCACTCAAGGAAGATCCCGCCCGTCCCGCCCACACTGAGCCCGCAGCATAGGCGCGGTCCCCGCCACCGCCACTTCGACGCATCAGCCTCGCCCACCGGGCTTCTGGCGGGTCTGGGCAGTAGCCCCGCCCCCTCCCAGCCCACAGACTCGCACCTCCCCCGTGCAGGTGGTTTCCTGGCCCACTGTCCTCAGCCCACTCGCTGGCCTTTATCTCTGTTTCACGTCCAGGACCCCACGCCCTGTCGGCGCTGCTTGGGCTACGGTCACTGTCCACCCGGGGCCCACGGAAACGCGGTCTCTGTCCCCCACCGCCGCTTGCCTTGGGAACGCGGCCCGAAGCCCAGGACCTGGTAGATGGGCGCAGGCGGGCGGTCGGCCGTGTCCTCGCCGCGGGTCACCATCGCCTCGCGCACGGCCGCCAGCCCATTGAGCACGACCACCGGCGTCCAGGCCAGCTGCAGGCTGAACACGTCCCCGAAGCGGCGCCGCAACTGCAGAGGGAGGGTCAGGGCCTCTTGTCAAGCCAGGATCCCCCCAGACTACAGGTCCTAGTCCTATTTGAACCTTGGACGACCCCCGGGGCTACCAGGAGTGAGCAGGTGGAAGGAGGAGACCCAGCCTCCTGATCCTGGGGCGGGGGTGGGGGTCACACCTTCTGTGATGGAGGAACTCAGTTTGGATGCGTCACCCAGGTATGACCTTGCAAGAGTCACCAAAATTGCCGAGAGGCCCCAGTTAGCATCCCATTCCCAGATGATGGTCCATGCCGGTGAGCAGTGAGGCCCGAGGACCCACAGTGCAAAAGGTTTGAACCGGGTCACTGCACCCCCTTCATCCTCGATTTCGTGATTTAAACGGCACTCAGGACTAACTCATCTTCCATTCCCAAGGCCTTTCCTTCTGGTGTCAGCAGAAGGGACTTTGTACTCCATAACATATGTTGCCCAATGGGCTTGCATGCCCACTGCCAAGTCCAGCTCCACCTCCAGGCCCTTGCCCTACTCTTCCTTGGCCTTTGGAAAATCCAGTCCTTCATGCCATGTATAAATGCCCTTCTCCAGGAAGTCCCCCAAACCTGCTTCCCCTTCTCAGCCTGGCTTCTGGTCCAGCCTGTGGTTTCACCCACCATCCATGTTTGCTTCTGGTAGGGGAGCCTCAGCACCTCTGCCGCCCTCCAGGACCTCCTCCCTCACCTGGTCGAAGCAGTATGGTGTGTTCTGGAAGTCCACATGCAGCAGGTTGCCCAGCCCGGGCAGTGGCAGGGGGCCTGGTGAGTAGCGTGCAGCCCAGCGTTGGCGCCGGTGCATCAGGTCCACCAGGAGCAGGAAGATGGCCACTATCACGGCCAGGGGCACCAGTGCTTCTAGCCCCATACCTGCCTCACTACCAAATGGGCTCCTCTGGACACACCTGGCACCCCCACCCCACCAGGCACAGAGGACCAGGCAGGACACTCTCAGCACACCGAGCGCGTGACCCTTCCCTTATAAAGGGAGCTGATGATGGCCTTTGCCCTCTGCTGTGAGTGAACCTGCTGTGTTGACTGTGCTGCCAGTGGCAGAGTCAGGCCAGGGCGGGTATGGGCTGCTCCAGAGGTTCTTGCCCCTGCTTCCTGCTCCAGGCCCTTACCCAGGGTAGGCCGGTGGAGGGGCCTGGTCGGAGAAGTCACCCCCTCTCCCCACTCCAAGCTCCTGAAGCCTGCAAAGCCTTCTGGGATAACCAGGGTTTCAGTGGACCCGGCCATCCACCTCCCAGCTAGGCTCATACACCCTAATGTAGTCACAACCCCTCCTCCAGAACATGGCCTTGCCCTTTCCCTACCCCCACCTGCCCACTCCAGAGTGACCTTCAGCACCCTTATCTGTCACTGGCACTTACCTGGGGCCTTAGAGCTCCTGATGATGAGTGGCATCATGGGCCTGGTCCCTTCACTTCACCTTGCACTCTTGACATGCACAGACGCTATGCACACACCTGATGGTGCACAGATCTCTTGTCCACTCCCAGACACTTGTCCACTTGTTCACACTTGCAGGGACACGATTACACACGCAGAAAATCACCCACACAAAGACAATATTCACACATACACAGACTCACACTGACACTTAGGGCACACATTCTCTCTCACACACACCAGTCACACACACATACAGACCCGGCACCAAGTACCCCACTTCCCAGCCATGCCGGAGGTTTCCTGGATGGGACCACTCCTGTCCAGAGGCTGCTCCCAGCCCAGCCCACATTCCTGGGCTCTGGCCGGGCTATGGCTTCTTGTTTGCAACAGGGCTGTTCCCAGAGCTCCCAGTTGGTAGCCGGAAGGCCCTTGCCCCAGCCTGTGACAACATCCTCCCGGGCTGCCTGAGGGTTGTCCTCCTCCACTGCTTTCTGGCCTCCATGTTTCTGATTAGAAATCTGGTGGGAACGTTATGGAGGATCCTTTGTTCAGGATATGTTGCTTTATTTTTTTTTTCTTTAGACAGGGTCTCACTCTGTTGCCCAGGCCGGAGTGCAGTGGCAGGATCATGGCTCACTGCAGTCTCGACATCAAGTGGACCCCCTGCCTCCCAAGTAGCTGGGACTACAGGCACCACCCAGCCTAATCCTTTTTTTTTTTTTTTTTTTTTTTTGGAGACGGAGATTTCCTCTTGTTGCCCAGGCTGGTGGCTCCCCTCCATTGTGCAATGATGCAATCTCGGCTCACTACAACCTTCACCTCTAGGCTTCAAGCAATTCTCCTGCCTCAGCCTCCTAAGTAGCTGGGATTACAGGTGTGTGCCACCACGTCTAGCTTTTTATATTTTCAGTAGAGATAGGGTTTCACCATGTTGGCCAGGCTAGTCTTGAACTCCTGACTTCAGGTGATCCACCCACCTCAGGCTCCCAAAGTGCTGGGATTATAGGCATGAGCCACCGCACCCA
Organism: Homo sapiens; assembly: GCF_000001405.40. NCBI lineage: Eukaryota > Metazoa > Chordata > Mammalia > Primates > Hominidae > Homo > Homo sapiens. Next base: position 23,754 of record NW_015148968.1, read on the forward strand.
ATCCCAGCTAATTTTGTATTTTTTGTAGAGACCGGGTTCTTCCAAGTTGTCCAGGCTGGTCTTGAATTCCTGGGGTGAAGCGATCCTCCCACCTGGGCCTCCCAAAGTGCTGGGATTACAGGCCTGAGCCACTGTGACTACCTGATACGTCTCTTCTCTCTTGCTGCTTTCAAAATCCTGTCTTTTGTGGGAGGGCAGCTGCCGAGCTCTGGACTTCTACGGGATCATCCACTGAGGACAGGAGGACCGGGCCCTCTACAGGTGGATTGTATGGCAGCTGCCATGCTTGGAGCCAGTGCTCACCGAGCACGTGGCGGCTGTGGAGCTGGACGCGGGGTTGATAAGTCCGCTGGGGGTGACGGGCTCATCCATGAGTGGTACTTGATGTGGCTGCAGAAGGCGGATGTGGTGGTGGCAGAAGTGACACAACTGTCCCTGGGTATAGGCTATGATCTGTGCCAGGCCACAGCCCTCAATAAGTGAATCCTGTGCCTGCTCCAGCAGCAGTCCGGTGGAGTGCTGTCGGCCATGATCTGGGAAGAGGCAGATGGCTCTGGGTTCCAGGTGTGGGACTACGGAGAGGGACAGGTGGAGGCCCTGCTGCATGGATAGGTTGAGGCTGATCCTTCCGAGCAGGTTGCCTCCCCTAACCCAACCATTGGACCTAATCCCATTTTATTAAATTCTTCTCATCCCAGACACTGCTCTAGTACCAGTCCTGGCTCTTTGCCCCAGGAGCAAATTAAAAGGTACATTTAAAATTCTAAAAAAAGAAAAATCTGTCTTTTGACAGTGATTATGATGATGCGTATGGCTGAAGATCTCTTTGAGTTTACCCTACTTGGAGTTTGATGAGCTTTTTGGATGTACGGATTAATATTTTTCATCAGATTTGGGAGGTTTTTCAGCCATTAATTCTTCAACTATTCCTTTACTCCTTTCTCCCTGTCTTCTTTCCTGGGACTCCCATTGTGTGTATGTCGGAAAGCTTGACGGCGTCTCCAGGTCTCTGGATCTCTGTGCATTGCTCTTCATGCTTGTTCCTGTTCCTCAGAGGGGACTACCTCAGGTGGCCTCTCTCCATAGTCACAGGCTCTTTCTTCCAATTGTTCCAATCTGCTCTTGGGCCCCTGGGATGAATTTTCATTTATTTTACCCTACAACTCCAGAATTTTTATTTGGTTCCTTTTTAAACTTTTTTTTTGTTTTTTGTTTTGTTTTGTTTTTTGGAGTATCGCTCTGTCACCCAGGCTGTAGTGCAGTGGTGCAATCTCGGCTCACTGCAATCTCTGCCTCTCGGGTTCAAGCGATTCTCCTGCCTCAGCCTCCCGAGTAGCTGGGATTACAGGCACGTGCCACCACGCCCGGCTAATTTTTGTATTTTAAGTAGAGACGGGGTTTCACCATGTTGGCCAGGCTGGTCTCAATCTCTTGACCTCATGATATGCCCGCCTCAGCCTCCCAAAGTGCTGGGATTATAGGCATGAGCCACCATGCCCAGCCCCTTTTTATAAGGTTCATCCCATTATTGATATTCTCTAATTGGTGAGACATTGTTCCCACACTTTCGTTAGTTCTTTTGACATGGTTCTTTTCTTTTTCTTGGGAGAGGGTCTCTCTGTCGCCCAAGCTGGAGTGCAGTGATGCAGTCATGGCTCACTGCAGCCTCAACTTCCTGGGCTGAAGTGATCCTCCTACCTCAGCATCCTGAGAGGCTGGGACCATAGGCAGCCAGCTAATTTTTTAAATTTTTTGTAGAGATGGGGGTCTCACCACATTTCCCAAGCTGCTCTCAAACTCCTGGGCTCAAGCAATCCACGGGCCTCAGCTTCCCAGAGTGCTAGGATTATAGGTGTGAGCCACTGCACCAGGCCTACACGTGGTTTCTCCCTTTGAAGTACTAGCCAGGCCTGACCATGCTTAGCTTCCGAGATCAGCAGGTTCCAGCCGGTGCAGCCTCAGATGCAGCATGTTTTAGGTCTTTGAACATATTTAAATGAGCTGACTGAACGTCTTTGTCTAGCAATTGCAGCATCGGGCTGGTCCCATTGGTGACTTTTCCCGTGTCTGGGTCGTCCTTTCGGTTTCCTTTCCATGTCTCATAATTTGTTAAAACCTGGACATTTCACGGGCGATAATGTGGCAACTCCGGAAGTCAGATTCTCTTCCCTGCCAAGGATGTGTTGTTGTTGTTGCCTGTTGGAGCTGTTTCTTTGCTGGGTGACTTTTCTGAACTAATTCTGACTAAGCATTAATGTCTCCATTCCCTGCGAGCTGTGGCCACTGAAGCCGCTCTTCAGTTACGGCAGTGGTCAGCTAATGACTGGTCAGAGAGTTCCTTAGGTGCCTGGAAGCGAAGTCTTTGCCGAGTGGGTCTCTCTCTGTGTGCCGGGCGTGGCTTCAGTGCTCGGCTAGGCAGTGCTCAACTTTCCCTTAGCCGTCACCTGCTGTCTGCACAGCACCTCAGGTCAGTCACGGGTGAGGGCTCAGGGCCTTGCCGGCCTTCCTGAATATGGGCACAGCTGCAGACAGCCTTACCCACGTGCAGGGCACCTAGATTCCCAAGAAGGGGCAAGAGCTGTTCAAAACCACTACAAGCTGGACATGGTGGCTCACACCTGTAGTGTCAGTGACTCAGAAGGCTGTAATGGGAGGATGACTTGAGGCCAGGAGTTTGAGACCTAGCAAGACCCCATCCCCCACCCAAAAAAACAAAAACAACAACAAAAACTCACTGTGGACCGCTCATGCCCCAGCTGCTGCTTTTTAACCCCAGCTGTTATCCATCACCACAGGCAGCTTCGATTTTCAATCATGGATCTGATGACTTTCAACAAACTTTCCTGAGGAAAGTGCTGTTCCCACCAGAAGAGATCTCAGGACAAATGTAGACAGCCCTGGCAAGTGGGGTCTCCCTGGGAGCTAGCAGACAGGTGAAAGACTGACAGTTCTTGGGGAATTAGGCTTTTCTTTTGTTTTGGAGATGGCGTTTCATACTTATCACCCAGACTGGAGTGCAATGGTGTGATCTCGGCTCACTGCAACCTCTGCCTCCCAGGTTCAAGCAATTCTCCTGCCTCAGCCTCCTGAGTAGCTGGGATTACAGGCACCCACCACCACGCCCAGCTAATTTTTTGTATTTTTAGTAGAGACGGGGTTTCACCATGTTGGCCAGGCTGGTCTCGAACATCTGACCTCAGGTGATCCACCCATCTCGGCCTCCCAAAGTGCTGGGATTACAGGCGTGAGCCACCCTGCCCAGCCCAATTATAGATTTTTTAGGTTTAGGTGTTGACAGTAGCTCTCACCTCAGCCTGTTCTCTCTCCTTGTCATGCAGCCCACAGGGGAGATGGTCAGGCCAGTGTGGGGGCTAATGAATAAATGCTACACTGTGCCCACTCAGGTGGGTAAGGGCTGGCACTCCTCTTCCCCTGGAGTGGGGCGGCTGTGCTGGCACCCTTGGCAGACACAGTAAGGGGGACTGCACCTGGAAAGGATGGGCCAGTCGGGGCAGGACTACTCATCACTCATAGTGTGGGTGTCAGGGTTGTGTCACCCCTCCCACCTCCCTCTGCAGAGACGCAAAGTCAAGAGTAGGAAGAAGCCAACCTCTGAGGTAAGGCTTCCCCTGGAAGGCCCAGGGCTGGGGCTCTCTCCTTTCAGAGCTCAGTTAGACCCAGACACACGGCAGGGAGTCCCAAGGGTAGTGGCAGGCCCCCTCCAGGAAACTCACAAGGTTACCACAGCTCAACTGAAAAGGAAGAACTTCCCAGGACTGTGACACCCCAGTGTGAGAACAGGAGGATGAGGTGCTCTGAAGGCCTTTCTGCCCAGTCTGCCCTCTTATTCCTCCTGCAGGTCACGACCCCCAGGAGACCTGGAGGACTGAATGCTGCTGCCCCCAAGGAGGAGGCTGCCGTCTTATCCCAGGAGGGAGAGCAGGTGAAGTCCCCAGGGGAGGAAGCACCTAGCCCCATTCCTGCTGAGCAGGAGGTGGCAGGTACCCCAGACTGGGAGGTAAGGACAGCCCGGGGCTTCGACTGAACGTCTCCAGCGTGGGTCCAACTGAGCAGCCATGGAGCACTGCAGAGTGGGAGGCAGCAGGGCAGGGAGGCAGTGCTGGAGGCTGGCTCAACCCCAAGACCAGCAGGCCAAGCTGCCATCCCAGGGGAGCGAGGACGTCTGTGCAGAGCTGAGAGGCAGCAGCCATGTGTGAACAGACTGGGCCTCATCCTGGCCCCACCGACTTTGTGTGGACAGAGCCTGTTTCCCTGTCTGTGCAACACAGAACCTGCCTGATCTCACTGCTGGATCCCTCTTCTTCCTGCCAGGAAAATAAAAAGGTTCAAAAGGAAGTTGCTGCGTATCCATCTGGTAAGACCATTGACCCAGCGTGCTGCAGGGGGCTGCTTCCACCCTGCTTCTCAGTGACTGCCAGGGTCACAGACACCCCAGCCCTTTCCCACCTTCCTGACCTGGGGAGGGGAGGGGAGGGAAGCAGCCCAGGAGTCAGGTGCCTTGACCTTCCTGGGAGCCTCCTTGGGTGGGCAGGAACTCTGGGCCACTCCCCTGAGCTGGCTGCATCCCTACCTTTCACCACAGCTGACCTGGCCCCGGGGCATCTCAGAGGGAGGGTTGGTTGCTCCCAGGAGGGGACTCACAAGGCTGCCTGTTTCTACTTTGCAGAGGCCTCTGAGGACAGCAAAGAGCAAAGGCCCTGGGACCGGGTCTACGTGCCCATGACAGAGCTCTGGCTGGACTGGTTCTGAGCCTCTAACACCCCCAAGACTCAGAACCGTGAAGAAAATCTTTCCAATAAATCCAAGAGTTGCTGCTGCTATAGGCCAGGCTGCCACCTTTCGGGGCCTCCGTCTTCAGACAAACCCAGCCTGGCTTCATCCACACTCCCTGTCCCCACAGCTGCAGGAACAGCACTTCCTGCCACCGAGCCGTGTGACCACAGTGGATTGTCTCTGGAGGGGCCCAAGGGGGCCCTGGCCACCCTTCTGACTGACTCGGTGCCAGGGGACAGACCAACGTCCCTCTCGTGCTGACAGCCGGGCCGCACCCTGGCATGAGGGCATTTACAGAAATGCTGGCGGAACTGCTGCCAGGGAGGCTGTAGGGTCCTCTGGCAAAAGAGGCCTCAGGTGGCTCCTCAGAGTGTCTGTGGTTCTCTGTCCCAGGCTGTTCCCTAAGAAGGTCTGCCCAGGACTCAGGTAATCATATGCTCATTAGAAACTCTTGGGCACTGCCTGTGTGCCCAGCCCAGCCCATTATGTCGGTGAGGACAGATGTGGAGGACAGCAGTCCCTGCCCTTGGTTGGGGCTCCAGGCCAGCAAGGGCCACAGCCCCAGAAGGCAGAGCAGGAAGACAGGACTCGGGGCAGGTGAAGCAGCCTTCTCGTTGGCAGAAGGGAAACAGAAGCCCGGGGTGGGGAAGGGTGGGGAAGGGTGGGCCCGGGGTCACACGGGGTAATGGCAGAGCAAGGACTAGGGTCAGGGTCTCTGGCTCTCAGCTGCCCATGCCACCTCCTCCTTCTCTGCCCGCCCCAGTGCCTTATGGGTCCAAGGTTGACTCCTGTCCCTAGGGCAGGCCTGTGGGCCCTGCCTGATCCCTACTGGGAGGATGGTACCTAGGGTTGGAGCCAAACAAGTGTCCTCCTCCAGCGCCAGCCTGGCCCTGAGTGCGAACTCGTCACTGGTCAGGGGTCCAGACAGCAGCATCCCTGAGGGCCCAGAGAGGTGGCCAGTCCTGTGGTGAGGTTGAGAGGTGTCAACGTGCTGGCGGTCCTCGCTCGCTCTCAGCGCCTCCTCGGCCTCAGCTTCTGCTCTGACCACACTTGAGGAGCCCTTCAGCCCAGCGCTGCACTGTGGGAGCCCCTCTCTGGACTGGTGGAGGCTGGAGCCGGCTCCGTCTGCTTGCGGGGAGGTATGGAGGGAGAGGCGTGTGCGGGAACCTGGGTTGCTCGCGGGCCAGCACCAGTTCTGGGTGGGCAGGGGCTCAGCGGGCCCTGCACTCGGAGCGGCCGGCTGGTGCCTCTGGCCCCAGGCAGTGAGGGGCTTAGCACCTGGGCCAGCAGCTGCAGAGGGGGCACCGGGTCCCCCAGTACTGCTGGCCTGCCGGCGCTCACCACACTTGAATTGTCGCCAGGCCTCAGTCACCTCCCCGCGGGGCAGGGCTCAGGACTTGCAGCCTGCCATGCCCAAGCCTCCCTACGGTGGGCTCCCTGCGAGGCCCAAGCCTCCCGGATGGGTGCCTCCCACTGCTCCACGGCACCTGGTCCCGTCCACTGCCCAAGGGCTGAGGAGTACAGGTGCCTGGTGTGGGACTAGCAGGCAGCTCTGCCTGTGGCCCTGGCATAGGATCCACTAGGCGAAGCTGGCTGGGCTCCTGAGTCAGGTGGGGACTTGGAGAACTTTTATGTCTAGCCAGAGGATTGTATATGCACCAATCAGCACTCTGTGTCTAGCTCCGGGTTCGTGCATGCACCAATTAGCACTCTGTATCTAGCTAATCTGGTGGGGACTTGGGGAACCTTTATTTCTAGCTAAAAGATTGTAAATACACCAATCAGCACTCTGTGTCTAGCTCAGGGTTTGTAAACACACCAGTCAGCACCCTGTGTCTAACTCAAGGTTTGTAAACGCACCAATCAGTGCTCTCTGTCTACTCTATCTAGCTAATCTAGTGGGGACTGGGACAACCTTTATGTCTAGCTAAGGGATTGTAAATACACCATTCAGCACTCTGTGTCTAGCTCAAGGTTTGTAAATATACCAATCAGTACTCTGTGTCTAGCTCAGGGATTGTAAATGCACCAATCAGCTCTCTGTAAGTGGACCAATCCACTGTCTGTAAAATGGGCCAATCAGCAGGATGTGGGTGGGGGTCAGATAAGGGAATAAAAGCAGGCTGCCTGAAGTAGCAGCGGCAACCTGGTTGCCATCATTCTTTTGCTGTTTGCAGTAAGTCTTGCTGCTGCTGCTCCCTCATTGGGTCCACACTGCCTTTATGAGTTGTAACACTGGAAGGACTGCAGTTTCACTCCTGAGGCCAGTGAGACCACAAACCCACCAGGAAGAATGAACAACTCCGTACGTGCAGCCTTAAGAGCCGTAACACTCACTGTGAAGGTCTGCAGCTTCACTCCTGAAGCCAGCAAGACCACGCACCCACCAGAAGGAAGAAACTCTGAACACGTCTTAACATCAGAAGGAACAAACTCTGAACACACCATCTTTAAGAACTGTAACACTCACCGTGAGGGTCCACAGCTTCATTCTTGAAGTCAGTGAGACCAAGAACCCACCAATTTTGGACACAAGGTGACAGGCTGAGGGCGGTGGCTCGGTCCTGGGTTTTCCTGGGGCCTTCCCAGGGAATGTTCTGGCACCTGCCGACTGAGCCCTGGGAGGTAGCCCTGGCATATAGCTCCCTGACATGATTTGTCTTCCATTTTGGGGTGTCATATATGAAGGGAGGTGACTGTTGTGATGGTGCTGGCAGGACTGCTGTCCCTGATGTGGGGTGGGCTGAGTTAGGCCTGAAATATGGGCCTCCAGGCTGAGTCCTGCCCTCTCCACCACATCCAGGGCTGACTGACACCTCTAGTCAGCCCATTCTGGCCCCTTCCCCACATGCCAGGACAATGTAGTCCTTGTCACCAATCTGGGCAGTCAGAGTTGGGTCAGTGGGGGACACGGGATTATGGGCAAGGGTAACTGACATCTGCTCAGCCTCAACGTACCCGTCTCAAATGCGGCCAGGCGGTGGGGTAAGCAGGAATGAGGCAGGGGTGGGGTTGCCCTGAGGAGGATGATCCCAACGAGGGCGTGAGCAGGGGACCCGAGTTGGAACTACCACATTGCTTTATTGTACATTAGAGCCTCTGGCTAGGGAACAGGCTGGGGACTAGGTACCCCATTCTAGCGGGGCACAGCACAAAGCTCATAGGGGGATGGGGTCACCAGAAAGCTGACGACACGAGAGTGGCTGGGCCGGGGCTGTCCGGCGGCCACGGAGAAGCTGAAGTGCTGCAGCAGGGAGGTGAAGAAGAGGAAGAGCTCCATGCGGGCCAGGGGCTCCCCGAGGCATGCACGGCGGCCTGTGGGGAGGGGAGGGGCGTCAGTGAGCCTGGCTCCTGGGTGATACCCCTGCAAGACTCCACGGAAGGGGACAGGGAGCCGGGCTCCCCACAGGCACCTGCTGAGAAAGGCAGGAAGGCCTCCGGCTTCACAAAGTGGCCCTGGGCATCCAGGAAGTGTTCGGGGTGGAAGCGGAAGGGCTTCTCCCAGACGGCCTCATCCTTCAGCACCGATGACAGGTTGGTGATGAGTGTCGTTCCCTGGGCAGGAGATGCAGGGTGAGAGTGGGGACTGGACTCTAGGATGCTGGGACCCCTGCCACCAAACACACGGGGGACACACACTGCCTGGCACACAGCTGGACTCTGTCAACTAGTCCTGCGCCCGAGAAGCTCCACAGTACCCTCTCCGACCCCACAGCAGGGCGCAGTCACACCTCTCAGAGGCACCCACACTGCCCCCTCTCCCTGCAGGCGCTGGGTCCTCCAACATTCTGGCAGGTCCTGGTTTGTCTCCCCACTAGACGGGGGCTCTGGATGGACAGGCCAGCCCTGCCTATACTCTGGACCCCCCACCCAAGTGGGGACAGTCAGTGTGGTGGCATTGAGGACTAGGTGGCCAGGGTTCCTAGAGTGGGCCCACCTGGCAGTAGCCATGCTGGGGCTATCACCAGGGGCTGGTGCTGAGCTGGGGTGAGGAGGGCGCCAGGCCTACCTTAGGGATGCGGAAGCCCTGTACTTCGATGTCACGGGATGTCATATGGGTCACACCCAGGGGGACGATGTCCCCAAAGTGCTGCACCTCATGAATCACGGCAGTGGTGTAGGGCATGTGAGCCTGGTCACCCATCTCTGGTCGCCGCACCTGCCCTATCACGTCGTCGATCTCCTGTTGGACACGGACTGGACAGACATGCGTCCCCACAATGGGTCAGCACCCAGGGGACACTCTCCTTCCTCCTGTGTTGGAGGAAGTTAGGCTTACAGGAGCCTGGCCACGCCTGTGCTGGAAGCCCCGGGTGTCCCAGCTAAGCCCAGGGGCCCCCAGCTGTACCCTTCCTCCCTCAGTCCCTGCCTTGGGCCCCAGCTGGGCTCACGCTGCACATCCAGGTGTAGGATCATGAGCAGGAGGCCCCAGGCCAGCGTGGTCAAGGTGGTCACCATCCCGGCAAGGAACAGGTTACCCACCACTATGCGCAGGTTCTCATCATTGAAGCTGCTCTCAGGGCTCCCCTTGGCCTGAGCAGGGCCGAGAGGATACTCAGGGGATAGAACGGGGTAGCCCCCAAATGACCTCCAATTCTGCACCTGTCAGCCCAGATGCGGCTCGCCGGGTGATGCACTGGTCCAACCTTTTGCCCAGCCTCCCCTCATTCCTCCTGGGACGTTCAACCCACCACCCTTGCCCCCCACCGTGGCAGCCACTCTCACCTTCTCCTTCTTTGCCAGGAAGGCCTCAGTCAGGTCTCGGGGTGGCTGGGCTGGGTCCCAGGTCATCCTGTGCTCAGTTAGCAGCTCATCCAGCTGGGTCAGGAAAGCCTTTTGGAAGCGTAGGACCTTGCCAGCCAGCGCTGGGATGTGCGGGAGGACGGGGACAGCATTCAGCACCTACACCAGACAGAACCGGGTCTCAATCCTTCCTGTGCTCTGCGTTCATCTGGACCAGTCTCAGGCCCCAGCCATCTCCAGGAAGACCCAGGGCCTGCCTGTCCTTACCACTGACCTCACCAAGTCCCTCCCCAAGTGCCAGCCTCCACCCTCTCTCTCCTTGCCCAGAGGAGAAACCTAAAATCGAAATCTCCAACGTGGACGGGGGTACAGAGTCCTTGGCCTCTCCTGGTGCCCCCTGACCCGGGCACACCTCTCCCACGACCATGTCTGAGATGTCCCCTCCTCCTCCAGGCCCTTCTTACAGTGGGGTCTCCTGGAATGTCCTTTCCCAAACCCATCTACGCAAATCCTGCCCTTCGGAGGCCCCAGTCCAGCCCCGGCACCTCTCAGGAGCTCGCCCTGCAAAGACCCTTGCTCCGCACCTCGCGCAGGAAGCCCGACTCCTCCTTCGATCCCTCCCTGAGCTAGGTCCAGCAGCCTGAGGAAGCGAGGGTCGTCGTACTCGAAGCGGCGCCCGCAGGTGAGGGAGGCGATCACGTTGCTCACGGCTTTGTCCAAGAGACCGTTGGGGCGAAAGGGGCGTCCTGGGGGTGGGAGATGCGGGTAAGGGGTCGCCTTCTCCGTCCCCCGCCTTCCCAGTTCCCGCTGTGTGCCCTTCTGCCCATCACCCACCGGCTTGGTCGGCGAAGGCGGCACAAAGGCAGGCGGCCTCCTCGGTCACCCACTGCTCCAGCGACTTCTTGCCCAGGCCCAAGTTGCGCAAGGTGGACACGGAGAAGCGCCTCTGCTCGCGCCACGCGGGCCCATAGCGCGACAGGATCACCCCTGTGGGCGGGACGGACACGTGGGCGTTGCCATGAAGGCCTTGGCCCCACCCTCCGCCACCCACTCCAACCCTGGCGCTCCACAAGGTCTCCCGCAGTCCCTAGCCCGGTCCAGCTGGGCACAGGGCCCACTCTTTGCTCACCCACATTGCTCCCCTGCCTGGGGCGGGGTTTGGCCCCACCTCGTCTCTGCCCACCCTGACCACCTTTCCACTCAAGGAAGATCCCGCCCGTCCCGCCCACACTGAGCCCGCAGCATAGGCGCGGTCCCCGCCACCGCCACTTCGACGCATCAGCCTCGCCCACCGGGCTTCTGGCGGGTCTGGGCAGTAGCCCCGCCCCCTCCCAGCCCACAGACTCGCACCTCCCCCGTGCAGGTGGTTTCCTGGCCCACTGTCCTCAGCCCACTCGCTGGCCTTTATCTCTGTTTCACGTCCAGGACCCCACGCCCTGTCGGCGCTGCTTGGGCTACGGTCACTGTCCACCCGGGGCCCACGGAAACGCGGTCTCTGTCCCCCACCGCCGCTTGCCTTGGGAACGCGGCCCGAAGCCCAGGACCTGGTAGATGGGCGCAGGCGGGCGGTCGGCCGTGTCCTCGCCGCGGGTCACCATCGCCTCGCGCACGGCCGCCAGCCCATTGAGCACGACCACCGGCGTCCAGGCCAGCTGCAGGCTGAACACGTCCCCGAAGCGGCGCCGCAACTGCAGAGGGAGGGTCAGGGCCTCTTGTCAAGCCAGGATCCCCCCAGACTACAGGTCCTAGTCCTATTTGAACCTTGGACGACCCCCGGGGCTACCAGGAGTGAGCAGGTGGAAGGAGGAGACCCAGCCTCCTGATCCTGGGGCGGGGGTGGGGGTCACACCTTCTGTGATGGAGGAACTCAGTTTGGATGCGTCACCCAGGTATGACCTTGCAAGAGTCACCAAAATTGCCGAGAGGCCCCAGTTAGCATCCCATTCCCAGATGATGGTCCATGCCGGTGAGCAGTGAGGCCCGAGGACCCACAGTGCAAAAGGTTTGAACCGGGTCACTGCACCCCCTTCATCCTCGATTTCGTGATTTAAACGGCACTCAGGACTAACTCATCTTCCATTCCCAAGGCCTTTCCTTCTGGTGTCAGCAGAAGGGACTTTGTACTCCATAACATATGTTGCCCAATGGGCTTGCATGCCCACTGCCAAGTCCAGCTCCACCTCCAGGCCCTTGCCCTACTCTTCCTTGGCCTTTGGAAAATCCAGTCCTTCATGCCATGTATAAATGTCCTTCCCCAGGACGTCCCCCAAACCTGCTTCCCCTTCTCAGCCTGGCTTCTGATCCAGCCTGTGGTTTAACCCACCACCCATGTTTGCTGGTGGTGGGGCATCCTCAGGACCTCTGCCGCCCTCCAGGACCTCCTCCCTCACCTGGTCGAAGCAGTATGGTGTGTTCTGGAAGTCCACATGCAGCAAGGTTGCCCAGCCCGGGCAGTGGCAGGGGACCTGGCGGGTAGCGTGCAGCCCAGCGTTGGTGCCGGTGCATCAGGTCCACCAGGAGCAGGAAGATGGCCACTATCATGGCCAGGGGCACCAGTGCTTCTAGCCCCATGGCTGCCTCACTACCAACTGGGCTCCTCTGGACACACCTGGCACCCCCACCCCACCAGGCACAGAGGACCAGGCAGGACACTCTCAGCACACCGAGCGCGTGACCCTTCCCTTATAAAGGGAGCTGATGATGGCCTTCGCCCTCTGCTGTGAGTGAACCTGCTGTGTTGACTGTGCTGCCAGTGGCAGAGTCAGGCCAGGGTGGGTATGGGCTGCTCCAGAGGTCCTTGCCGCTGCTTCCTGCTCCAGGCCCTTACCCAGGGTAGGGTGGTAGAAAGGCCTGGTCGGAGAAGTCACCCCCTCTCCCCACTCCAAGCTCCCCAAGCCCACACAGGCTTCTGGGATAACCAGGGTCTCAGTGGACCCGGCCATCCACCTCCCAGCTAGGCTCATACACCGTAATGTAGTCACAACCCCTCCTCCAGAACATGGCCTTGCCCTTTCCCTACCCCCACCTGCCCACTCCAGAGTGACCTTCAGCACCCTTATCTGTCACTGGCACTTACCTGGGGCCTTAGAGCTCCTGATGATGAGTGGCATCATGGGCCTGGTCCCTTCACTTCACCTTGCACTCTTGACATGCACAGACGCTATGCACACACCTGATGGTGCACAGATCTCTTGTCCACTCCCAGACACTTGTCCACTTGTTCACACTTGCAGGGACACGATTACACATGCAGAAAATCACCCACACAAAGACAATATTCACACATACACAGACTCACACTGACACTCAGGGCACACATTCTCTCTCACACACACCAGTCACACACACATACAGACCCGGCACCAAGTACCCCACTTCCCAGCCATGCCCAAGGTTTCCTGGATGGGACCTCTCCTGTCCAGAGGCTGCTCCCAGTGAGCCTCAAAGCTGTCACGTGGATCCCAGCTCAGCCCACATTCTGGGCTCTGGCCGGGCCATGGCTTCCTGTTTGCAACAGGGCTGTTCCCAGAGCTCCCAGTTGGTAGCCTGAAGGCCCTTGCCCCAGCCTGTGACAGCATCCTCCAGGGCTGCCTGAGGGTCGTCATTCTCCACTGCTTCCTGGCCTCCATGTTTCTGATTAGAAATCTGGTGGAAACATTATGGAGGATCCTTTATTTAGGATATGTTGCTTTTTTATTTTTATTTTTTCTTTAGACAGGGTCTCACTCTGTTGCCCGGGCCGGAGTGCAGTGGCAGGATCACGGCTCACTGCAATCTCAACATCAAGTGGACCTCCTGCCTCCCAAGTAGCTGGGACTACAGGCACCACCGAGCCCAAATAATTTTTTTTTTGAGACGGAGTTTTGCTCTGTCGCCCAGGTGGGAGTGCAATGATGCGATCTCGGCTCACTGCAACCTCCACCTCCAGGGTTCAAGCGATTCTCCTGCCTCAGCCTCCCAAGTAGCTGGGATTACAGGTGCCCACCACCATGCCTGGCTGATTTTTTGTACAAGAAGTTTATAGAACACCAAGCAGATTTAACCCAAAGAAGACGACCTCAAGGCATCTGATAATTAAACTCCGAAAGGTCAAGGATAAAGAAAGGATCCTAAAAGCAGCAAGAGAAAAGAAACAAATAACATGCAGTAGAGCTCCAATACATGACATGGGGCAGCCACCTTTCCAGTGGAAACCTTACAGGCCAGGGGGGAGTGGCATGACATATTTAAAGTGCTGAAGGAAAAAAAACTTTTAGCCGAGAATAACGTATCTGGCAAAAATATCCTTCCAACAGGAAGGAGAAATAAAGACCTTCCCAGACAAACAAAAGCTGCGAGATTTCATCAACACCAGACCTATATCCCACAAGAAATGCTAAAGGGAGTTTTTCAATCTGAAAAAAAAAAGGATATTAATGAGCAAGAAGAAATCATCTAAAGGTACAAAACTCACTGGTAATAGTAAGCACACAGAAAAACAGAGTATTATAATACTGTAATTGTGGTGTGTAAACTACTCTTATTTTAATTAGACTAAATGATGAACCAATCAAAAATAATAAGTACTTTTCAAGACAGACAGTACAGTAAGACATAAAGAGGCCGGACCCGGTGGCTCACGCAGGTAATCCCAGCACTTTGTAAGGCTGAGGTGGGTGGATCACCTGAGGGCAGGAGTTCGAGACAAGCCTGGCCAACATGGTGAAACCCCATCTCTACTAAAAATACAAAAAATTTAGCTGGGCATGGTGGTGGGCGCCTGCTACCCAGGAGGCTGAGGCAGGAGAATCGGTTGAACCTGGGAAGTGGAGGTTACAGTGAGCTGAGATCGTGCCACTGCACTCTAGCCTGGGCAACAGAGCAAGACTTTATCTCAAAAACAAAAAAAGAGAAACAACAAAAAGTTAAAAAGCACTAAGATGAACTTAAAGTGTAGAGTTTTTATTAGTCTTCCTTTTGCTTTATGTTTGTTTACGCAATCAGTGTTGTCATCCGTTTAAAATAATGAGTTATAAGATAATATTTGCAAGCCTCACGGCAACCTCAAATCAAAAAGCACACAATAAGTGAGACTGTGTCTCAAAAAGAAAAGAAGAAAAAACACACAATGGATACACACACACAAAAAAGCAAGAAATTAAATCATACCACCAGAAAAAAATCAACTTCATTAAAAGGAAGACAAGGAAAAAAAAAAAAAAAAAAAAAAAAAAAAAGAGAAGACCACAAAACAGTGAGAAAAGAAATAACAAAATAGCAGGAGTAAGTCCCTGCTTAGCAATAATAACATTGAATGTAAATGGACTAAACTCTCCAATACAAAGACACAGAGTGGCTGAATGGATGAAAAAGCAAAGCTCAATGCTCTTTTGTCTAGAAGAAACACACTTCACCTGTAAAGATACACATAGACTGAAAATAAAGGGATGGAAAAAGATACTCCATGCCAATGGAAAACAAAAAAGAGCAGGAGTAGCAATACTTAGACAGAACAGATTTTAAAACAAAAACTGTAAGAGGAGGCCGGGTGTGGTGGCTCACGCCTGTAATCCCAGCACTTTGGGAGGCCAAGACGGGCGGATCACGAGGTCAGGAGATTGAGACTATCCTGGCTAACATGGTGAAACCCCGTCTCTACTAAAAATACAAAAAATTAGCCAGGCGTGGTGGCGGGCGCCTGTAGTCCCAGCTACTCAGGAGGCTGAGGCAGGAGAATGGCGTCAACCTGGGAGGCGAAGCTTGCAGTGAGCCAAGATCGCGCCACTGCACTCCAGCCTGGGTGACAGAGCGAGACTCCGTCTCCAAAACAAAACAAACAAACAACAACAACCAAAAAAACTGTAAGAGGAGACAAAGAAGGTCATCCAGCAACAGAATATAACAATTGTAAATACATATGCACACAACACTGGAGCACGTAAAGCAAATGTTATTGGAGCCCAAGAGAGACGTTAACGCAATAACAGCTAAAGACGTCAACACCCCACATTCAGCATTGGACGGGTGTCCCAGATGGAAACCCAATAAGAAAACATTAGACTTAATCTGCACTACAAAAGAAATGGACCTACTAGATACTTATAGAACACTTCGTCTAAAGTCTGCAGAATACACATTCTTCTCCTCAGCACATGGATCATTCTCAAGGATACACCATATGTTAGGTCACAAAGCAAGTCTTAAAACATTACAAATGTTAAAATAATATCAAGCATCTTCTCTGACCACAACAGAATAAAAGTGGAAATCAACAACAAGAGGAATTCTGGAAACTATACATACACGTGAAAATTAAACAATATGGTCCGGAATGGCCAGTGGTTCAATGAAGAAATTAGGAAGGAAATTTGGCTGGGCACAGTAGCTTACACCTGTAATCCCAGCACTCTGGGGGGCTGAGGCAGTCAGATGACCTGAGATAGGGAGTTCGAAAGCAGCCTGGCCAACATGGTGAAACTCCGTCTCTACAAAAAGGCACAAAAATTAGCAAAGCATGGTGGCATGTGCCTGCAGTCCCAGCTACTAGGGAGGCTGAGATGGGAGGATTGCTTGAACCCAGGAAGTCAAGGCTGCAGTGAGCCCTGATGGCATCACTGCACTCCAGCCTCGGTGACAGAGCAAGACCCTGTCTCAAGAAAACACACACACACACACACACACACACACACACACACACACACACACACAGAGATGCTCAAACTAATATCATTTTGCTGTTAGAGCCAAGAGGGGTGGCCTGTGTAGTAAAAAGTGGGGAAGTCATTCCTTGCACAATGCAAGCCACTGGACCAAGAGTCCAAACTGACTCTTGACAGGAGGCTGGGAGATATCTGCTAAGGCCTTGGAATGTCCTGCCTGAAATAGTGTCTTTGTACATAGCTAGGGCCTTGGACCATACAACACAGTTTATGCCAACAATGTGATCGAGGGTGGGGCCGTCAGGCCTGTATCCATCTGACTTCAGGAGGGGCTGGAGACTGAGTAACTGAGGTCAGCCATGCTGCGGGGGCTCAAGCCTAGGATGACCAACTCCCAACAAAAACCATGGACACCAAGGCCCAGGTGAGCTTCCGTGGCTGGCAGGGCTCTCTGCTGCCTCACTTACTGTTGGGGGAGAATTAAGCACTGCCTGTAGGAGTCCACCAGAAAAGAGAGCTGCAGCCTTGGCCTGGTCATTCTGGACTCTGGTCCCTGTGCCTTTCATCTTTGCTGACTTTAATCTGTACCCTTCTCTGTAATAAACTGTTAACAGGGAGAATAACAGCTTTTCTAGGGCTGTGAGACCTTCTAGAAATCACTGAACCTGAGGGTGGTCTGGGGGAGCACAACACAGTCTCCCACCCTAGCCAGGGAATGGATTGATTCTTGGCATATGCCTATTCATATCCACCCCAGCCAAGACTTACGCATGGACTTTGTCACCAAGCCAGGCAGCCAGTGATGGGTCTCTGGGCGTGACGTGGGGGCAGGCTGTTTCCTGCTGAGAATCACTATGCCTGTATCTCAAGTAAAGTCAGGCGTCCAGGTAAGAGTGAATGAGGTGAGGCTGGTCTCGGTGGCTCACGCCTGTAATCCCAGCACTTTGGGAGGCTGAGGCTGGTGGTCACGTGAAGTCAGGAGTTTGAAACCAGACTGGCCAACATGGCGAAACCCATCACTACTAAAAAGACAAAAATGAGCCGGGGGTGGTACCCGGTGCCTGTAATCCCAGCTACTCAGGAAGCTGAGGCACGAGAATCGCTTGAACTCTGGAGGCGGAGGTTGCAGTGAGCTGAGATTGCACCACTGCACTCCAGCCTGGGTGACAGAGTAGGCTCCATCTCAAAAAAAAAAAAAAAAAAAATGAATGAATGAGGTGAGGGGTGAGGGGTGAGGGGTGAGCACTGACATCAGGCAGGTGACTGACGACCCAACACAACCAGGACCTTGGCAGGGGCCCAGACTGGATACAGAAACCAAGTGGGAGCCACTAGACTAATTTATTGTACAACAGGGTCCCAGCTGAGGAGCAACTCTAGCGGGGCACAGCACAAAGCTCATAGGGGGATGGCGTCACCAGAAAGCCGACGACACGAGAGTGGCTGGGCCGGGGCTGTCCGGTGGGCACCGAGAAGCTGAAGTGCTGCAGCAGGGAGGTGAAGAAGAGGAAGAGCTCCATGCGGGCCAGGGGCTCCCCGAGGCATGCACGGCGGCCTG
Source organism: Homo sapiens (assembly GCF_000001405.40). Classification (NCBI taxonomy): domain Eukaryota; kingdom Metazoa; phylum Chordata; class Mammalia; order Primates; family Hominidae; genus Homo; species Homo sapiens. The sequence goes on from NW_015148968.1 coordinate 41,487, forward strand.
TGGGGAGGGGAGGGGCGTCAGTGAGCCTGGCTCCCGGGTGATACCCCTGCAAGACTCCACGGAAGGGGACAGGGAGCCGGGCTCCCCACAGGCACCTGCTGAGAAAGGCAGGAAGGCCTCCAGCTTCACAAAGTGGCCCTGGGCATCCAGGAAGTGTTCGGGGTGGAAGCGGAAGGGCTTCTCCCAGACGGCCTCATCCTTCAGCACCGATGACAGGTTGGTGAAGAGCATCATCCCCTGGGCAGGAGATGCAGGGTGAGAGTGGGGACTGGACTCTAGGATGCTGGGACCCCCAAGCACACAGGGGACACACACTGCCTGGCACACAGCTGGACTCTGTCAACTAGTCCTGTGCCCGAGAAGCTCCAGAGCACCCTCTCCGACCCCATGGCAGGGCGCAGTCACACCTCCTGGGAGCGCCCACGCTACCCCCTCTCCCTACAGGTATTGGGGTCCTCCAACATTCTGGCAGGTCCTGGTCTGCCTTCCCCACTAGACTGGGGCTCTGGATGGACAGGCCAGCCCTGCCTATACTCTGCACCCCACACCCAGGCTGGGACAGTCGATGTGGTGGCATTGAGGACTGGGTGGCCAGGGTTCCTAGACTGGGCCCACCTGGCAGTGGCCATGCTGGGGCTATCACCAGGGGCTGGTGCTGAGCTGGGGTGAGGAGGGTGCCAGGCCTACCTTAGGGATGCGGAAGCCCTGTACTTCGATGTCACGGGATGTCATATGGGTCACACCCAGGGGGACGATGTCCCCAAAGCGCTGCACCTCGTGAATCACGGCAGTGATGCAGGGCATGCGAGCCTGGTCACCCATCTCTGGTCACCACACCTGCCCTATCACGTTGTCGATCTGTTGGACACGGCCTGGACAGACACGCGTCCCCACAATGGGTCAGCACCCAGGGGACCAGCCCTGACACTCTCCTGCCTCCTGTGTTGGAGGAGGTTAGGCTTACAGGAACCTGGCCAAGCCTGTGCTTGGAGTCCCGGGTGTCCCAGCTAAGCTCAGGGGCCCCCACCTGTACCCTTCCTCCCTTGCCCCCTGCACTGGGCCCCAGCTGGGCTCACGCTGCACATCCGGGCGTAGGATCATGAGCAGGAGGCCCCAGGCCAGCGTGATCGAGGTGGTCACCATCCCGGCAAAGAACAGGTCAGCCACCACTATGCGCAGGTTCTCATCATTGAAGCTGCTCTCAGGGTTCCCCTTGGCCTGAGCAGGGCTGAGAGGGTACTCAGGGGACAGAACGGGAGAGCCCCCAAATGACCTCCACATTCTGCACCTGTCAGCCCAGGTGCCACTTGCCAAGTGATCCAATGGACCCACCTTTTGCCTGCCTCATTCTTCCCGGACGCTCAACCCACCACCCCTGGTCCCTACCGTGTCAGCCACTCTCACCTTCTCCTTCTCTGCCAGGAAGGCCTCAGTCAGGTCTCGGGGTGGCTAGGCTGGGTCCCAGATCATTCTGTGCTCGGTCAGCAGCTCATCCAGCTGGGTCAGGAAAGCCTTTTGGGAGCGTAGGACCTTGCCAGCCAGCCCTGGGATGCGCAGGAGGAGGGGGACAACATTCAGCATCTACAGCTGACACAGAACGGGGTCTCAATCCCTCCTGTGCTCTGCGTTCACCTGGACCAGTCTCAGGCCCCAGCTGCCTCCAGGGAAGACCCAGGGCCTGCCTGTCCCCACCACTGACCTCCCCAAGTCCCTCCCCAAGTGCCAGCCTCCACCCTCTCTCCTTGCCCTGGGCTGCCAGAGGAGAAACCTAAAAATCAAAATCTCCAATGTGGACAGGAGGCACAGGGTCCTTGGCCTTTCTTGGTGCCCCCTGACCCGGGCACACCTCTCCCACGACCGTATCTGAGATGTCTCCTCCTCCTCAAGGCCCTTCCTCTAGCAGTGAGCTCTTCTGGAATGTCCTTTCCCAAACCACTCTATGCAAACCCTGCTCCTTGGAGGTCCGGCTGCAGTCCCGGCACCTCTCAGGAGCTCGCCCTGCAGAGACCCTGCGGTCCCTCGCTCCACATCTCTCGCAGAAAGCCCAGCTCCTCCTTCAATCCCTTCTGAGCTAGGTCCAGTAGCCTGAGGAAGCGAGGGTCGTCGTACTCGAAGCGGCGCCCGCAGGTGAGGGAGGCGATCACGTTGCTCGCCGCTTTGTTCAGGAGGCCGTTGGGGTGAAAGGGGCGTCCTGGGGGCGGGAGATGCGGGTCAGGGGTCGCCTTCCCAGTCCTCCACCTTCCCAGTTCCCGCTTTGTGCCCCTCTGCCCATCACCCACTGGCTTGGTCGGCGAAGGCGGCACAGAGGCAGGCGGCCTCCTCGGTCACCCACCGCTCCAGGGACTTCTTGCCCAGGCCCAAGTTGCGCAAGGTGCACACGGAGAAGCGCCTCTGCTCGCGCCACGCGTGTCCGTAGTGTGCCAGAAACACCCCTGGGGGCGGGACGGACACATGGGCGTGGTCATGGAGGCCTTGGCCCCGCCCTCCGCCGCCCACTCCAACCCTGTGCTTTTCCTGGTCTCCCGCAGTCCCTGGCCCTGTCCAGCTGGGCACAGGGCCTGCTCTTTGCTCACTCACCTTGCTTGGGTCTTGGCCCCACCTTGGCTCTTCCGACCCTGACTGCCTTTCCACTCAGGGAAGATCCCGCCCGTCCCGCCCCGCCCATACTGAGCCCACAGCAGAGTCCATCCCGGCTTCTAGACACCCGCTTCCAGCTGGGAAAGGCGCCAGCTCCGCCCACCCGGTTCCTGGTGGGTCTCGGCAGTTGCCCCGCCCACTCACAAGCCCCTCTTCCTCCCGCCCACAGACTCGCACCTCCCCAATGGAAGTGGTTTCCTGGCTCGCTGTCCCCAACCCACTCACTGGCCCACAACCCCGCGCCCTCTCAGCCCAGCTTGGGCTACGGTCACCGCCCACCCAGGACCCACGGAAACGCAGTCTCTGTCCCCCACCGCCGCTTGCCTTGGGAGCGCGGCCCGATGCCCAGGACCTGGTAGATGGGCGCAGGCGGGCGGTCGGCGGTGTCCTCGCCGCAGGTCACCAGAGCCTCACGCACGGCCGCCAGCCCATTGAGCACGACCACCGGCGTCCAGGCCAGCTGCAGGCTGAACACGTCCCCAAAGCGGTGCCGCAGCTGTAGAGGGAGGGTCAGGGCCTCCGTTGGGTCAGGGCCTCCATCAGGCCAGGGTCCCCCCAGACTGCAGGTCCTAGTCCTATTTGAACCTTAGACGACCCTCGGGGCTACCAGGAGTGAGCAGGTGGAAGGAGGAGACCCAGCCTCCCGATCCTGGGGCGGGGATGGGGTCACACCTTCTGTGATGGAGGAACTCAGTTTGGATGCGTCACCCAGGTATGACCTTGCAAGAGTCACCAAAATTGCCGAGAGGCCCCAGTTAGCATCCCATTCCCAGATGATGGTCCATGCCGGTGAGCAGTGAGGCCCGAGGACCCACAGTGCAAAAGGTTTGAACCGGGTCCACTATATCCCTTCATCCTTGATTTCTAACTTACTCATTTATTTAGACCATGTCTGGCTCTGTCACCCAGGCTGGAGCGCAATGGCGCGATCTTGGCTCACTGCAACCTCCACCTCCCGGGTTCAAGCAATTCACCTGCCTCAGCCTCCCATGTAGCTGGGATTACAGGTGCCCACCACCGTGCCCCGCTAATTTTTGTATTTTTAGTAGAGGCAGGGTTTCACCATGTTGGCCAGGCTGGTCTCGAACTCCTGACCTTGTGATCCCCCCACCTTGGTCTCCCAAGATGCTGGGATTACAGGTGTGAGCCACCGCGCCCAGCCGTTGATTTTTTTTTTTTTTTTTTTTTTTTTTTTTTTTTTGAGACAGAGTCTCGCTCTGTCGCCCAGACTGGAGTGTAATGGTGTGTTCTCAGCTCACTTCAAGCTCTGCCTCATGGGTTCATGCCATTCTCCTGCCTCAGCCTCCCAAGTAGCTGGGACTACAGGTGCCCACCACCTCGCCTGGCTAATTGGTTTGTATCTTTAGTAGAGACGGGTTTCATTGTGTTAGCCAGGATGGTCTCGATCTCCTAACCTCATGATCCGCCCGCCTTAGCCTCCCAAAGGGCCGGGATTACAGGCGTGAGCCACCGCGCCCGGCCTGATTTCTTATTCGTTTATTTAGACATTGTCTGGCTGTGTCACCGAGGTTGCAAGGCAATGGCACAATCTCCACTCACTACAACCTCTGCCTCCTAGGTTCAAGCAATTCTCCTGCCTCAGCCTCCCAAGTAGCTGGGATTGCAGGCGTGCACCACTGTGCCCAGCTCATTTTTTGTATGTTTAGTAGAGACCGGTTTTTGCCATGTTGGCCAGACTCATCTGGAACCCCTGACCTCAGGTGATCCGCCCACCTTGGCTTCCTTAAGTGCTGGGATTATAGGCGTGAGCCACCACGCACAGCCTGATTTCCTGATTTAAACGGCACACAGGACCCTGACTCGTCTTCCATTCCCAAGGCCTTTCCTTCTGGTGTCAGCAGAGGGGACTTTGTGCTCCTAACATATGCTGCCCAATGGGCTTGCACGCCCACTGCCAAGTCCAGCTCCACCTCCAGGCCCTTGCCCTACTCTTCCTTGGCCTTTGGAAAATCCCATCTTTCATGCCATGCATAAATGCCCTCCCCCAGGAAGTCCCTCAAATCTGCTTCCCCTTCTCAGCCTGGCTTCTTGTCCAGACTGTGGCTCCACCCACCACCCATGTTTGCTGGTGGTGGGGGATCCTCAGGACCTCCTCCCTCACCTGGTTGAAGGTGTATATGTTCTGGAAGTCCACATGCAGCAAGTTGCCCAGCCCGGGCAGTGGCAGGGGGCCTGGCGGGTAGCGTGCAGTCCAGCGTTGGTGCTGCTGCATCAGGTCCACCAGGAGCAGGAAGATGGCCACTGTCACTGCCAGGGGCACCAGTGCATCCAGCCCCATGGCTGCCTCACTGCCCATTGGGCTCCTCTGGACACACCTGGCACCTCCACCCCACCAGGCACAGAGGACCAGGCAGGACACTCTCAGCACACCCAGTGCATGACCGTTCCCTTATAAAGGGAGCTGATGATGGCCTTTGCCTTCTGCTGTGAGCCAACCTGCTGTGTTGACTGTGCTGCCAGTGGGTGCAGGGTCAGGCCAGGGCGGGTATGGGCTGCTGCAGAGGTCCTTGCCCCTGCTCGCTCTAGTTGCCTACCCAGATTAGGGTGGTGGGCGAGAGGTGGCCTGGCATGGGAGCTCCACCCAAGTTGGAGGTATGGATTGTACTGGGTGCTGAGCTGTGTACTGGGAGCATGGTGGTAAGGCTGTGAGTCAATGCCCCAACGTAATGATGACCACGGGGAGTAGGAAGGTAACATAGCTGACATGACAAGCCAGCAGTGCCATGAGGGTCCATGGGGACGTTGTCCCAGGCTGGAACAGGACTTTCTGGGAAGGATTCATGGAGAACTTTGTCTAGCTGACTGAGGGGCTGCCTAGCACTGTAGGCCACGGCACTGGCAGTGGGACCAACCCACCCCTGGAATTTCCTGTGCAGGTGGCCTGAGGGGCAGCAGGAGGCCAGCAGCTGGAGCCTGGGTCTTTTCAGGTCTGGATGAAGACTGGATCTGGGGAACAAAAGGCAGGGAGAACAGTTTATTTAAAATTTAAAAATATATATATATTTTTTAGAGACAAGATCTTGCTCTGTTGCCCAGGCTGGAGTGCAGAGCTGTGATCATAGCTCACTCAAACTCCTGTGCTCAATCAAGAGATCCTATTTTAGCGTCCCGAGTAGCTGGAACTACAGGTGCACATCATTACGCTCGGCTAATTTTTTTGTTGAGATGGGTCCTCACTATGTTGCCCACGCTGGTCTGGAACTCCTGGCTTCAAGTGATCCTCCTGCCTTGGCCTCCCAAAGTGTTGGAAATAGAGGCATGAGCCACCTGGCCCAACAGAAGTTTTGAAGCTACTCAACTGACAGAGAGAGCAAGACCCATGCCTATCTGGGGACTTCTCAGATCTGGCTTGTGGTCTCCCAAACTGGCCTCAGCTGAATGAATGTTCCTGTCCTACATGGCAGCACTGTTCTATTTGGGACTGTGAGAGAATCAAGGTGCAGGGACAGCAGGATGGTCTGGGTGCTTGTTACATGGTGGCCCTTTATACATTACCTGTATGCACTCTTGGCCTTTTGAGGTGGCAGGCCCTCCCCAAGCAGTCATCATGAATCATGATGGGGGTGTGAAGGGCAGGGACAGGCATGCCTGCAATGTGGGCAGTGTCCTCCCGAGTGCCCTCCTTACCAGCCAGAGGCCTGTAATTCAAGATATGGCAGCATGAGGAAAACATTTAATAACAATGCCTGTGGCCTTTTCCAATCATTGTGCACCTGTGGCTTCCATTGATCGGGCACTTATGTGCCAGAAACTGCTGGTCAGACTGTGTGCTCTAGCTCATTAATCCTCCCACAGCCCCCTAAGGAGGTGGTTTTATGGTCCCCAAGGCACAGAGACTGAGGCTCAGAGATCACATAACAAGGTTCAAGTCACACAGCGGTGTTAGGAGTCCACATCCAATGTGTATGCTGAGCTACTATTCTATACTGTTTGGACATTACATTCTATTAATGGTCAGTATAGATGTTTCTGGGATTTATTATTTTTAGGAAACAGATCCAACCTGCCTTCCCTGAACAGTGGTACTGCTGTGTCATGGTAAAAAGTGCACTGTGCCCTGGCAGGCCCTATGGACGTTGCCAAGTGAGATGGTGTGAAAATATGTCAGCAAGTGGTAGACTAGGAAACTGCGGGCTCTCGTTCTCCTAGAGAGCTCAATGTTAAAGCTATAGGAGACCAAAACATCGTGAGAATTCTAGAAACTAGTTAGGATGCTGCAATGCCAGCTAGTGCAGAGCCAGGGAGGGACTGCACTGGGAAGGGTAGTCAAGTTGGAGCATTTTGCTTGTTCTTGCCCTTCCCCCTGCCAGGCATAGCAATGCTACTGGGAGAGACCCTCCAATTCCCAGCTCCTCCCATGGGATGGGTTTCTGCTGGGTCCGACTCAAGAGTGCTGAGTGGTGGGGTCTGTCTGCCCTCAGAGCAGCACCTCTGCGTTTCCACAGCTGCAAGGGGACGGGGTTATGGGCAGTGGAATAGTTGTGTCTGGGTATCCTGGAGGGGATTGGTGCCAGGACCCCCGGTAAATACCAAAACCCAAGGATGCTCAGGTTCCTTATGTAAAATGGCATAGTATACCTATGCAAATGCTCCTGTATACTTTAAATCATCTCTAGATTATTTATAATGCCTAATACAGTGTAAATGCTACATAAATAGTTGCTATACTGTACTGCTCTTATTTGTATTTTTAGTTGTTATACTTTCTCAAGTTATCTTTGATGTGTGGTTGAATTTGTGGATGCGGAGCCTGTGGGTATCGAGGGCTGCTTGTACCCTAGAAACAGAAATGGAAAGCTCCAGGGGCAGGGCCAGCCTGCAGGGGGGCAGTTTAATGGGTAAAGCTTCCGTTTTATAAAATGAAAAATTCTGGAGATTGGTTGCACAACAATCTGAACACATTTCCCACTAAACTGTACTGTGACTGTTATGATGGTACATTTTTTTAACCACAATTTAAAAACTTTATGAGTATTAAAAAAATAAATGGCTATATACACACCTATTAGAATGGCTTAAATCCAGAACACTGACAACACCAAATGCTGGCAAGGATGTGGAGCATCAGGAACTCATTCATTGCTGGTGGGAGTACAAAATGGTACAGACACTTTGGAAGAAAGTTTGGCAATTTCTTTTCCTTTTCTCAGTTTTTTTTTTTTTTTTTTTTTGAGACAGAGTCTCACTCACTCTGTCACCCAGGCTAGGAGTGCAGTGGCACGATGATCTCAGCTCACTGGAACCTTTGCCTCCTGCGTTCAAGCAATCCTCCCACCTCAGCCTCCCGTTTAGCTGGGACTGCAGGCGTGAGCCACCATGCCTGGCTGATTTTTGTATTTTTAGTAGAGACAGGGTTTCACCATGTTGGCCAGGCTGGTCTCAAACTCCTGACCTCAGGTGATCCAGACAGTTTGGCAATTTCTTACAAAACTAGACATACTCTTACCATACAATCCACCAATCGTGCTTCCTGTACTTACCCAAAGGAGTTGAGGCCTTATGTCCACACAAAAACCTGCAAAGGGATGTTTACAGCAGCTTCATTTGTAATTGTCAAAACTTGAAAGCAACCAAGATGTTCTTCAGCAGTTGAATGGATAAACTGTGGTACAGCCAGACAATGGAATTATTTATCACTAAAAAGAAACAAGCTATCAAGTCATGAAAAGACACGGTTGAACCTTAAATGCACATTACTAAGTGAATGAAGCCAATCTAAAAAAGGCTACCTACTATCTAATCTCAACTATATGATACTTTGGAAAAGGCAAAACTTTGCAGACAGTAAAAGGCTCAGCGGTGAGGGACTGGGGCTAAGGAGGAATGAACAGTGGGACACGGAGGATCCCTGGAGCAGTGAAACTACTCTGGATCATGGTGCGTCCTCGTCTTTTTGAGACAGGATTTTGCTGTCACCCAGGCTGAAGTGTGGTGGCGCGATCACGACTCACTGTAGCCTCGACCTCCTGGGCTCAAGTGATCCTCCCATCTCAGCCTCCCAAGTAGCTGAGACTACAGGCATGCACCATCATGCCTGGCTAATTTTTGTATTTTTATGTAGAGATGGGGTTTCGCCATGTTGCCCAGGCTGTTCTCGAACTCAAGTGATACACCCACCTGAGCCTCCCAAAATGCTGGGATTATAGGCGAGAGCCACCACGCCCTGCCAGATCCAGGTCTTTATACATTTGTCAAAGGCCATAAAATGTACACCACCGGGAGTGGCCCCTAGTATAAACTATGGACTTTGGGTGAAAACAGTATGCCAACTCTGGTTGGGATGTTGATAGAGGGAAAGGTATGCATACGGGGGGAAGGGGTTATATGGGAACTGTCTGTACCGTCAGCTTAATCCTTCTGTGAACATAAAACTACTTTAAAAAAAATCAATTAAGACAAACACTAAAGGAACTAAAAGGCACTTGAGCAGTTGAGGAGAACTGCAGAAGCCAGAAACTGGAGTCAGGAGGCATGCGTGTATCACTGCCACTCCCCAGTGAAGGTCATTACTGAAGCCAATTTAAGGAAAGACCTAGAACAATCACAAGTGCTCCACTCAGGCAAATCAAAAGGGGACAAAAGAATAAAAGACAAAATGACAAACATTTGCTGTCAGGAAAATATTTTCCTCAAGATACATATTTTTCAAGTTTTGTGGTTTAGCCCTTGACACCTGAAGTCTATCCATTTCATTTTAACTGTATTAATGCCAAGTCAAGACCAGAATGAGACAACAACTAGCTCAAAAAAGCCATCATTTCTGTGCAGGTCCTGTTCAGTTGCCTAAGCTTGGTCCTACGGCCGGCACGGCGCACCCACCCACACCTCCATCCTGGCGGAGTGAAATGAGAAATGGACTGCTTGATGTAGCCATTAAAATACAATTAATCTGCCATTTCTGCTGCCCCAAATTGATGAACACAGAACTCATTTATAATTGCTTATTTCTGCTTCACAATATTCCTTCCAGTATTTCCATTCTCTAAAAAAGTCCATTAACATTCCATTATTTTTTTATAACCCTTAATGTTGATTGGAAATATGTCTTCATATCAACTTGAGTAAATCTGACTGTCCCCATACACTGGCCACACTCCACCTGCCCAGAGGAGTGGCAGAAGAACCCTAAATTTTGTTTGCTTCCCGGCTGCGTGGCCATCGAGAGGCCAGGAATGGGACAGACAGGTTCTGATCATGGCCTCCTCTGGAGAACCAGAGCTACCCTTTGGGGGTTAGAATGGGAGAAGGAAGAGACGCATTCACTTTAAAGTAAACAGAAGAGGAAACAAGGTTAAAATGAAGTTTATTATTTTTTTGATTTTTTGATTTTTTTTGTTTTTTGTTTTTTTAAATAAAACTGTTTGTGAAACAGCTATTTTATCCCCATGGCAGAGTGACCCCTGAAAGATGCACTAACCCCTTCTTAAGGCCATAACAAGATTTTTTTGTACTTTTTTCTTTTTTTAAAACTCAGATATTTAAAAATTATACAATTTACAAAACAAAACAACACAACATAAAGAATCACGTAGCATGGGGCTGCCTATCTGACAGGTCCTCTTTTCCTTTATAAAAATGAAAGCAAAAAGAAAAAGGGGTTAAATGGGTGTTCCTGGTCAGCTTAACCCACTCTGATCACAGCGACAGTCCCTCCCCGTCCCTGCCTACAGCTCACACTGCCAGCTCTGGCAACACAGGCCTGGACCTCCTCCCATCCCCACGGGTCCCTGTGGGTCAGGGCACAGCTGCCTGGAATGTGCTGAGGACAGGGGGCCCCAGAGGAGGGTCATCCCTTGATTTTGCTGCTGCTGTGTACACTTGATGGGGTCCTTGAGGTCCTCACCAGCCACAGTGACCCAGGACACAGCTATGACCTCAGGCATCTGCCAATTTCACCCCCAAAAAGAAAAAATTAAAAAAAAAAAACCATAAATAAATAGTGTTTCTGGAAATGAAAAAAAATTTATTTTTGTGTTTAAACATCATTCCCCTACTCTTGAAAACATGGACCATCCCTGTATTTCCCCCTCCCCCAAAACCTTCCCACTTTGAGACAAATTAATGACAAAAGGATGGTTCTGCTGTGGTTTGCTTTTTCAATCCTGGGTCTAGTGTTTTCTGAACTGGTGTGAGACAGGCTAAAGATCAACGCCACACACACACCCCGTCCTTCATGAGATGAGGGTTTGTTCAGTTCAATCTCACATTTAAATTTCACTTGTCATCGGAACAAATTTGGAGATCTTTAACGAGATAATTTTAAAACAGAATCAAAAGGGATAGCGCACCTTTCATTTAAACAAAGTCTTTCCAGACTAAAAATAGATTTATATATATATATTTATCCCTCCCTTTTAATTCCCCCCACCCTTTCCCCATCATCCCACCCCTCCCCCCTCCCCCCACATTGTCACTATGGAGATTGTGTCCATGGAAACAGCCATTCCAACGTCTTGGGTCTTTCTTTCCTGTGGTGTCACTGGTTTGAGTGTGATGTGAGAACTTAAGGAAGTGCTGGCATGGGCAGGCACGCGGGCGGGGCGGGGCGGGGCAGGGCAGGGTGTGGCTGCACGGTAGGACGATTTCCATTCCATCACGAGTGTCCACCACCTTCTCATCTCCACAGTCTCACCTGGAAGACAAGGGACACACAGTGAAGGCCAGGAGCCTCCACAGGGTCCACCACCAACAGCCGCTGTTCCGTGGTACCCCTGGGAGCTTTCAGCAGGGAGCCTGCACTCACGCCCCTCTGCAGATGTGCTGCTGATATGGGACACACCCGAGACCAATGCCAGGGCCACTGTGTGGCTCTGGATCTGGAATGTGATTAAAGGCAGCAATGACCTAGTGGGGGTGCTGGGGTTGGACTCTGAGGGCTCCTCAGGGCATGTCTGCCTTCCTAGTGCATAAAGGAACCAGTACAGCAGAGAACTCCCTGACCTCAGGGCAGGCCCCACTTGTGGGGCAGCTGGTGGGGTTTTGCCAGTGTCAGGACCCCAGTTGTGACTGAAACCTACAGTACCTGGTCAATCTGTGGAAGAAACTTCTCGAAGTCCAGCCTTTTAGGACAGTTTCACAGCTGCCTCTAGTCAACACAGCTAGTTGTTTGTTTTTGAGACAAGACATCGCTCTGTCGCCTTGGCTCCCTGCAGCCTTGACCTCCTGGGCTCAAGCAATCCTCCCACCTCAGCCTTCCAAGTAGCTGGGACTACAGGTACACGCCACCATGCTTGGCTAATGACAGTCTTTTTTTTTTTTTGAGACAGTCTTGCTCTATTGCCCAGACTGGAGTGTAGTGGTGTGCTCTTGGCTCACTGCAGCCTCTGCCCCCTGGGTTCAAGTGATTCTTGTGCCTCAGCCTCCCAAATAGCTGGGATCACAGGTGCACGCCACCACACCCGGCTAATTTTTGTATTTTTAGGAGAGATGTGGTTTTGCCATGTTAGGCTGGTCTAGAACTCCTGGCCCCAGCTGATCTGCCCACCTCGGCCTCCCAAAGTGTTGGGATTACAGGCGTGAGCCACTACACCTGGCCCACAGTCAGTTCTTCATGCTTAAAAAGAACACTCTTCCCATGGCCTCTAACAGGGAGGGCAGGTTTTCTGAGGCTCAGACAGAGCTGGACTATGTTAATCCTTTCGACCTCTCAGGAACCTGAGACCCCTAGGTCTCCCATCCCCAGGCTGGAGGGCTTCTCTCCTCTTCCAGCCCATGTGCAGAAGGGGATTCTGATGGCCCACGTAGGACAGATGGATTGTACCAAAGGTCCCTGTGGAACGCTTCATGGGCCATCTGATGTGGAAAGGTCTCAAAGACAAACAGCAGTTTCCTAGGAATCAGTCCAGTAAAATTTCACCAGAAGCCAGAAGTGGTGGCAGCCTTGCCCCTCCTTCACTTGCTATCTGCCAATCACTGTGCTTAAGACTGTCACTGGGGCTCACCTAACTGCTTCCTCAAGACCAATTTGGTGCCCTCCCCTGACAAACCCCAAGAACCCAAGTGTCACCAGCCCTTTCTGCTTCCATAAAGTTCACACACGCAGAACTGCTAAGGCGGCTGGGGCCTGCGGGAGCTAAGATTGAGCTGTTCCCAAGCACGTACATGCACATGCTCTTGCCCAAGGAGGTTCCTGACTACTTGGCAGAAAACACCAATAAGCAGGAACACACACAGAGGCCATGGCACAACATCACCACAGACAAGTAAAAGCAAGCCCTGGGAATGCAGGCCAGCAGTTGAGCTAATGGGCACCTACCTCCAAGAACACAGAAGGGTGTCATCTTGTTGGGGCTGCAGGATGCCCGTGTGAATCAAGGCCAATGCCCACACGTACCCTGCCAGGCTCTGCTCAAGGAGGGGACAGGGCAGGGTTTGCCCTCTTTACCAATACACAGCAGTCTTGGGCCTGCACCCCAATCTTGCTCATTACTCAGAAGAACAGGACCCCACACCAGCTCCCCAGTGAAGAATGAAGCACATGTCAGCAGCCAGGGTCTGCCTGGCCAGTTGGCTCTGCGAGCTGCTACTTGTGGGCCCCTCCCTGGGGCGCGTGGTGGCCCAGGCAGCGGCAGTTCCTCAGCACCTGCAGCCTGGGGCTCTGCCCTCTATAGCCTTCGTGTTCCTCAGGTCTGATGACTAGACCAGCCCAAACACACGATATCCTGAATGTAATGGGACCCTAACTTTTCAAGAGTTACTTTAAAAAAGTTGTTCCTTCAGTAGGGAAATTAGGAAGGAAGGAAAATTCTCTAAGCACTATGTGCCAGGCCCTGGGCTAGAAGCTTTACAGATATTATATCACAGTAACGTGGATCTGCCTGACCCCCATCTTCAAGAGAGCTAAAGCTCAGGAAGGCGACACATGTAGCCCAAAGCGACGTGGCCAGAGGTGGGACTGGGGCTTTCCCAACTGGGCCCTAGGGGCTGCGTATGCTAGGGCATGGGGTGTGGCTGAGAGACGGCTGGGTCCCCGACAGTGAGCCTGGGAGCAGCCCTGGTGCCAGCCAGCCTGAGCAGCAGGAGCGACCTGCCGCCCCTGTGCTGAAGACTGTGAATTCTCTTTTAAAGAACATCACCTTGCTCCCCAGCTGCCAGCATCCAGGGTTTCGTCTTGGGCCAACACCTTCCCAGGCTCCCTCACTTGTTCCCTCCCTTCCCTTCTCGCTCACACTGTCCTTTCTGCTCCCCTTTGGCCTCATCCGTGGCCTGAACCCGGGACGCCATCCTCGCGTCCTTCCACATCAGACTCCAAGCCTGCCTTTCCCAACTGCAGCAAAAACTCATCATCTCAACACCACTCACCCTGGCCAGGATTCGCCCAGAGCCCATTTCCTCATTTCTAAAACAGACACTAATTCCGACTAGAGAGGGAGGATATGAAGGGAAACCTAATTCTGAATCTATACTGATTAAGGGCACCGATGGTCAGGGTCCAAGAGCCCTTTTTTCCCTGGGATGCACTCATTTCTTTCTTTTTTTTTTTTTTTTTTGAGATGGAGTCTCACTCTGTCGTCCAGGCTGGAGTGCAGTGGCACGATCTCAGCTCACTGCAAGCTCCACGTCCCGGGTTCATGCCATTCTCCTGCCTCAGTCTCCCGAGTAGCTGGGACTACAGGCGCCCACCACCACGCCCGGCTAATTTTTTGTATTTTTAGTATTTTAGTGTTTTAATTTTTTGTATTTTTGTATTGTTAGCCAGGATGGTCTCGATCTCCTGACCTCGTGATCTGCCCGCCTCCCAAAGTGCTGGGATTATAGGCGTTAGCCACTGTGCCCGGCCTGGGATGCACTCATTTCTTTAACACAGACTCACTTGGCACTAGCATAGTTACATGCCCCGCTCTGGGCTAGGCTTTGATGGTGCAAAGACAGACGTGGTCCCTGCCCTAATGGAGCTTACAGTCTAGTGGAGAGACAGGTAGTAAACAAGTAAATGATCTGAAATTGTGGTGATGCTAGGATGGCTGCAAGCGAGGAGGGGGGCAATGGAGACAAGGATTTAGAAAGGGAAAGGCTTCTCTGAGGAAGTAGGATTTAAGCTGAGACCCAGGAGATGGGAGCCTGTTTTCAACATGAAGATGGGGAGCCAAAGTGTTTCCAGCACAAGGAACTGTGTGTGCAGAAGCCCAGAGGAAGGAAGCCTGGTCCCTGAGGAGCTGGAGGCAGCCAGGGGCCTGGAGAGTCACCTGAGACTTCCATAGGGCTCTGGAAGGCAAGGTGAGATGTCTGGGCTTTGTGTGGAAGATGACAAGAATCTCTGACGTAGAGAAGGGACAGGACTGGAGGGAGGCCTAATGAAGATTGCACTTGGCTGCTGAGCAGTGGCAGGGAGGCGGGCACTATAGCAGCCACAATGCCTGGGCTGGGGCTGGTGGGGAAGGAAAGTGGACAGACTCAGGCTCTCCTCTGGAGGTGTAACCCTGGACTGCCTCTGGACCAGTTTGGGGAAAGGGGAACTCTAGAATGTGACATTCATGCATACACACAAATGGACTGTGTGATGTCCAGCTCCAGGGGCAGGGGGGCCACGCCCCGTTCCCTGCCTTGCTCAGCGTCCATCCATGGCTGTTCTGTGCAGGGTACATAGCATCCAGGATGCAGCATTAGCCCTGATCAGGGTTATGCTTCCCATGTGCTGGACCACAGGGCCTGTTAGGGCAAGCTGGGGCCTCCTTGTTTAATTCACGACAGGAGGAAGAGCTGGGTATAGGGACTCCACTGTCAAAAGCCCTGCCAACCAATGACACAAGCCAGCAAGGCAACCCCCTTGGCACAAAGAGACAGTGGGCAACCACGGGCCTGCAGAAGGACTTTTCCCCTCCGCACTCCTGGCGAGGGTCAGGTACCAGATACCTCACAGGCTGGGAGGCAGGGGCGGCATCTTTTAACCCCAAGCCTTGGGTATTTTTTGCTATAAGAGACAGCTGCAGGGTCCAATCTGCTGCCTTGACCCCTCCAACTCCCAAGAGAAACCCACAGCTAGGCATGGCAGATCAACGGGCTGAGAGCCAGTGTGCTGTGCTGGCACTTAGAGACATTTCCCAATGGAATCTCAAAAGGTTGGCACTGCTATTCCTGTTTTTACAGAAGAAACCGAAGTACAGAGACATGGAGTAGTCTGATCTTAGTCACACAGCACCTATCATATCACTCTGTCAGAACATGGCGCACTAGGAGGCAGACACACACGCACATTCGCTGTCTGTTCCCTGCCTTGTCAGGGCACCCAATAATGGTGGCTCTCTGTCCCCAGCATGGGGCCCAAGATGAGTCCTCCTTTAGTCAGAGGTGTGATTCTATCCCCAGTCACCAGGGCTTCTACCACAAATGAAGGACGGTGACCACCCTCAATGTCACTGCTGAACTGGGAAACCAGGAAAAGCTATATGCCTTGTGGGAACAGCACATAAAAAACATTTCAGATGGACAGGACTGGATGCAGTGAGTCCATCCTCTCCCTCCAAGAGCTGAATGGAATGGTTCAACCTCAATGGACCTGAGACGACTCTCTTCAATGGGTGAGGCCACTTCATCACTGTGCTTCAACCCAGAAGGATGAAGCTCATTGTTCTGTTCAAGAGTTGGCCGGGCGCCGTGGCTCACGCCTGTAATCCCGGCACTTTGAGAGGTCAAGGCGGGAAGATCACTTGATGTCAGGAGTTCAAGGCCAGCCTGGGCAACATGGTGAAACCCCATCTCTACAAAAAATACAAAAATTAGCTGGGCGTGGTGGTGCACACCTGTAGTCCCAGCTACTCGGGAGGGCTGAGGCGGGAGAATCGCCTGAACCCCAGAGATGGAGGTTGCAGTGAGCCGAGATCGTGCCCCTGTACTCCAGCCTGGGCGACAAAGTGAGAATCCGTCTCCAAAAAAAAAAAAAAAAAGAGTCAAGGGCCCTGACAGCTAGGAAGGAAGGCCCAAGAATGACTAGAGAGGAACAGATGAACAAAATCCCCAGGAGATTTGTCCACCAGGCCCAGGGCCTGAACTTTCTTTTTCTCAAACACAGATGCAATTCCAGGACAAAAACAAAAAACACTTAAGCTCTTTCCTTAACCAGGTCTTCTAGGACACATTCCAGGAATACGCATCGTGGTCCCCTACAGAACTTGACTCTAACCATCTTGGCCTGTGCTGGCACAGGGGTGACAATGGGAAGGCACAGTGACACCCTCAGGAGCGTAGGGACATGCAGGAGGGCCAACAGAAACAGTCCTTTCAAAACCACGCAATGCAATGGCTGCCTTGTCCTAAGGGCTAATCCCAGGAAAAGGAGCAGGCAGTGCTGCCCAGCAGGTTCTGGAAAACCAGCAGCCACTCGCTGATGGTGGCAATGTACTCCAAGTCCAAGAGGCTTCATTTGCTCATCTGGTTCCTCTGACCCAGGAACACATGGAATGGCTTCCACCCACCTCCCCACTTTGCTCTGATCCCTTCACTGCCAGCCCTACTCCCCGGAAGAGGAAAGAGAAAGGCACCACACTCAACGCTCTATCAAGAAGGCACTCAGCAGCCCCCACTTGACTTCTCAAATGGCGTGGCAGCCGAGGGGCCTTCTCTGGAAATTAGTAGTGGTAACAAGGAGGAGGGCACGTTCCAGAAGGTGGTCAGGCACATGGTGGTGCCGGAAGGGACACGTCTAGCGTAGCTGTGTGAGTCAAACTCCTGAGGTCGACACAGAAGTCCTCCCATTTGAGAGAAATGACCCCTCAATGAATATTTCTGAGACAACTAGTCCTCCTGCCCCATCCTGTAGCAGCAAGTGCCACAAGGTACATTTGGGTTTTCTTTTCTTTACAACCTATTTCCCTTCATGCCTCAGTGACGCAGGGAGGGTGAAGGAGCAGCATGGAGCTCAGAGGCCTGCAGCTTCTAGAGACCCCAAGTCCTATCATCCTGTTTTCACAGATGCCTGCCAAGAGGGCCGTGACCACAATAATCCCACACAAACTCACAGCAAGCACAACTCAATCACAAGAATTTTTTTTCTTTTTTTGAGACAGGGTCTCACTGTGGCCCAGGCTGGAATGTAGCGGCACGATCATGGCTCACTGCAGCCTCAACCTCCAGGTTTGATCAAGTGATCCTCCCAGCTCAGCCTCCTGAGTAGATGGGACTAAAGGCATGTACCACCACGCATGGCTAATTTTTTTTTTTTTTTTTAATGTAGACACAGGGTCTCATTGTTGCCCAGGCTGGTCTTGAACTCCTGGGCTTAGGCGATCCTTCTGCCTCAGCCTCCCAAAGTGCTGGCATTACAGGTATGAGCCACCATGCCCAGCCTCGAGATTTTTAAGAGTAAAATTAAATCAGATGCTAGAGTCTACTAAATCTTTGAGGATTTTTCTTTCCTTTGTACTTCTGCAAAAAGGAATCCTTCATAATACTGGAAAAAAAAGATTTCTAATAACAAAACCCAAGAGTTCTGTTGTTTTCAAAGGAAAACACACCATAAGCTTTACAGAAATGTAGTAAATTAAAAAGAAGAGACCTTTGACTGGAACCCTTTCTGAGACGGGGGAAAGAGCAGGGGCTACTGGCAAGAGATGCCCTGTCCAAGAAAGAGACCTAAAAGCCTGTTGTGTCCACTCACAAGGCCACCCCTGGCCAGCTGTGCCCTGAAGGGCTGCCTTCAGGAACAGTCACCCTGCACCCCATTGGCAGTGGACAGTTTAGAAGCCCCCACTCCTTTCCACAGATAATCTGGGGAGCTAAGTAACCAATGGAAGAACACTGCATCCACCTGGCGTTGTCATCCACAGGATGAAATGCTGGTGGCAGAGCATAGAGCGAGCAGGAGGGCAGAGGCAACGACGCCTGCTGGGAGCCGGGCAGGATGCAGGGAGCCCGGTGGCCCCGACTCACCTGTGCTTGCTGTCCTTTCCATTCCCACGAGCACACTGCCCCCCTCACCCCCGCTCCGACTGCTCTGTGCTGAGGCTGCCTTTCGCGGTCTTGTTCTGCAAGGGGGGGAGAGGGCACGGAAGGGGAGGCTGACACGGGCAAAACCAAGAGGAGACAGACAGGTGGGAGAGGACAGTGCAGAAATCAGGGAGGGCAAAGGGAGGACAGGAGTGGCACATGGAAAAGGAAAGAAAAGGCAGAGTCAGTCCTGACCGACAAACAGGAGACATTCAGACAGGGTTTTCTGAGGCAAAATGTGACCCTTAAAAAGGGGAGTTCTAAAAATAACATGCAAATTAAGTAAAAATAAAGAGAATATAAGATCCTGTGACCACTCCCCGCCCTTCCCCAGAAATAATTTTTAAAGAAAAGCATAAGCAAGCATCTTTCAGGAGCATTTTGAGGGCAGACCTCTCTGGACAACCTCCTTCTAGTACTTTCGGCCCTACTAGATTTAAGACTGCGAGTGACCAGTGACCACCAGGTGTCAGTGTGACCTCAGCCAGAGACACAGTGCAGCCCCTGCAGGAAACATCAGGTGGCAGTGGTCTCCGTTCTGATCCTTTCTTGGGGCTCCTTCTCCATATACACCCTCCCCACACACATATGTGGTATCCACAAACAGACCATTCACCCCTTACCTCCCACCCTTTCCTAAAGGAAGCGACCACGAGACCACCTCCTAAATAAACTGGGAAGTGGAGCCCGAGACAGCCCATCCACTGTGCATCAGGCTGCTTCTGCAGAAGCACAACCTGGAAGAGACTGAGCTTCCCCAGAGCCTTGTGGTCAGCTCGACTTCTAGTCTGGGAAGATGCCTTTGCACAGGCCTCAAGGCCTAGAACCAGACTTACCAAACGCCAACCTGTGAATTGGGGTTCTATTCACCTCAAGTGGAAATCAGTGGCTTGATCGAGTTAGATATTCTCACCTCTCTTAATGAACAGACAAACACCCCCTCTCCCAAAACACATTTCTCCTGGGATCCTCATAATACTCCGAGTGCTGGCCCCCATGCCACGGGTCTCCCTTCAGCATCATGCCCCTCCACCCTCCCAGGGCCAGGAGGGGACTAACAGCCGGAGGCACAGGTGGGGACAGGTGTGGGTGAGGCCCACCAACACCTGGTCTTCAGGTCTTTCAGGAGGAGCCACCCTCGATCCCATCCCTGCTGGTAGCTCTTGGGGCCTCTGACTCACCTTGTGCTTAGGGCACCTCACCGAGAAGTTCTCCTCATGTAGCAAACAATCTGGAAGACAGAAGGGGACAGTCAGATGGAGACTTCACAGCTGGACATAGGTGTGGTCATGCTGGCTGGGATTGACAGGGTCAGACATAAAGGTAGCAGGTCGCTACACTTACTTCTAATAGGAAAACATTAGAGACAACCCAAGTAAGCTATGATACCTTAACATGATGGATATCGGTCACTTAAAAATTAACATTTGAAAAGAGTTAATGGTATGGAAAACACCCATGAAACAAAACTGCTTGAAAAAACCAGGATGTACAAATGTATAAATGTGCTAATTTTATTAAAATGTTTCTACGCATTAAAAAAAGACTTGGGGCTGGGTACCATGGCTCACACCTGTAATCCCAGCACTTTGGGAGGCCGAGGCAGAAAGATCACTTGAATCCAAGAGTCAAGACCAGCTTGGGCAACACAGTGAGATCCTGTCACTATTAAAAAAAAAAAAAAATACTGAAAGGCTGGGTGTGATGGCACTTGCCTATAGTCCCAGCTACTTGGGAGGCTGAGGTGAGAAGACTGCTTGAGCCCAGGAGTTCAGACTGCAGTAAGCTACTATCACATCACTGCACTATAGCCTAGGCAAGCAAAACTGTCTTAAAAAAAAAAAAAACTACTTGGGAGGCTGAGGCAGGAGAATCACTTGAACCAGAGAGTCGGAGGTTGCAGTGAGCCGAGATCACACCACTGCACTCCAGCCTGGTGACAGAGCGAGACTCCGTCTCAAAAAAAAAAAAAAAAAAAAAAAAAAAAAAAAAAAAGACTGAAAGGAAATCTATGAATATGTAACAATAATTCTCTTTGGGTAAGAAGATACAGCTGATTTAAATTTTATCTTTTCTATATTCCCACGATATCACCAATAAATGCTATTTTAAAAATCCTTGATTCTAGGCTAACCCCATTTCTCAGGCTCAAGCCAAAGCCTCCTTGTAAAAACACTTTAAAATCTAGACGCGTATTTTCTTCTCTGTACAGAGAATGCCCAGGTGTCTGAGACAGAAAGGTGGCCAGGCCCAAGAGCCCCACTGTCACCTTTGCCCCACGACCCACGGAGACACAGAAGCCTCCAACACAAATCACATAATCCACACTAAATGCTTCAGAGGAAGGTAAAATCCCATGAGGATGCTTTTAATCCTTGGAGGAAAAATGATTCATTCCAACTTGTAACATGATGACAGCATCCTGGATGGCAGCAAGGACACATCTGCCTCCAGGTGAGCTGAGCTCTCACACAAGGGTAGTGCATGGATCAGGGCAAGGAAATCTAATTAATGAGTTCACTCTGCACACCACAGCTCCTGGAGACCGACAGCCAGGTCACTGGTGCAAAACGCGGTGGCAGAATGTTAATAAATATTGATAACACATTCTCAGAGAGCTCCCAGGCACCATGGCAGGAGGCAGCCACGGTACTTATCCTTGTTAAATTTAAACTGAGATCCAGACTAGCAGCCTGTGCACCCACAGATTTCAAGTGCAATAGTAATAAGCAATGAACATACACATGAAAACTTTTCAGGTCCCGGTATCCTAAAACAAATCAAGAAGACCCTTTTATATTTGGCCAGACCTGGAACATCATAGCCTGTCTTTCGTTGGAGCCCATGAGTATCTAAGAGAGTGGGCGGCAGCCTTCTTGGCTCCGTGGGCCCAAGAGCTCAGCAACTTACTACTAACCTCCAAGCCCCTCCCCCAGCAAGCAACTAGCAAGGCAATAAATGAAATGTGTTAATTTAAAACCCACAAGTACATAGTGTGACCAAGACTCCCGCTGCTCCAATCTGCCAGAGAGTTTATAAACAGCAGGAGCCAGACAACTGGAGCTCAGGGGATATGCTCTCTTCTTACCTGGGCTCTGGCAGCAAGCACTATGCTGGCTTAGTCTCTAGTTTGGGCCAAACAGAAACAGTACAGCACACGTGGGGCTGGGCCACGCTTACGCCACAGGGGTTTATACCAGTGAGGACAGGGACCACACGAGCAGCAAAGGGTGCCATCAGAAAGGCGCAGGTGGCTCAGTTCCCTCACGGCCACAGAACAGTGACCAGCTGTGATGGACCATTAATAAAACACGCCTCATGTTAGGAAATGCGTTCCCTCTGAGTTAGAAGCAGAAAAGAGTAAGACACTATGAATGCACGCTAACGACAACTTGAAACTAATGCCAGATACATCTGGAAATGAAGTCTCCTACAGCAATCTGCCTGAGGCAGTGTCCATCTCTGACAAGGCCTCCCATGCAGGAACACTGTGCAGACAATGCCCTCCTCTGTTCTCATACATGTCCACAGGCCGTCAGGAAGCACAATTCACGTTCCTGGCAGGGGCCAGAACCACAGCTAGAGAGCTCAGAAACCTGGAGGGCACAGGGGAGCTTCTCCTCTTACCAGTCCCTGCTGGGAGGGAAGAGTGAAGAGCAGTAGGTGTAGTAAAACCTCTTCTGAGGACTCTGAACAGGCAACTGCACCTACATGGCCAGCCAGTCAAGGTCTCTCAATCTGTGTTCTTCAAGGCCCAGGCACCATCCTACACTGTCCAGAGGGCGCAGTCAGCACTTCTGCATAGTGAAGTCAAAGTAAACAGCTTGCGAGATCATCATCCAAGCTCAAAAAGACCTACAAGGTGGCCTAGTCAACAAGATGGCTTGCAGACACAAACATCAACCCCCAGAAGAGAAGGCCACTTTCATTTCCCTCTTCAAGCTCAAAGGCAGAATGGATTTACTAAGCTCCTCATTATAAGCTCTGTGAAGCTTCAGATACCCACATGCATCCACATGCTCCCAGGCTGAGGATGGTGGGCTCAAGGAGGGAGGTAGGAAAAACAAGAAGGGTTTAATGTCCTTTGGATCTGTTGTGTAGCAGACACAGACTCCAATTCACCTACACTCTACCCCAGTACTACTGTTATTCCTTATGTTGGCACACTGCAGGGCTTGGGACACAGGGGCCTGCCAGCCCCACCCTGCCTTGCCGAAGGGTAGGCTCAGGCTCCTGGGCCATAAGGAGGGAAATATGGGGCTCTTGGCACTGGGACTGGCTCCTGTGAGGCAGACGGCTGTCCCCCGGGGAGGAGTCAGACTACTGGCATTTCCTAATGACCCATCCAGGGCTCTGACGGCACCAGCAAGATCAAAGTCTGCAGCAGAGATAGCAGCTTTAAAATGCTACTGCAACGAGAGCTGCAGAAAGTAGAATTCCCAGCTGTTTTTTCATGAGAGTAGAAGAAAAAAAAAAACCCTCCACACAAGGTTCTTTACGCACAGTGGAATTATTAATGAGCTACCACAGCCTTTTTTTCTCGTCTTAATTGTTGTGGCTCATTGCATTAAATACATTAATTTAAAAAAAAAAAAAAACAGAGCTCATGCTCTTATTACTGTAACCCCCCCAACCTGGAGCCAAATCCTGTGCCTATGACATAACAAGCAACACAAAACAGCTGACCATGATGTCAGAAATGCAGGGTCAACATCAGGTGGGGGGGAAGGTGGCAGGAGTCACAGATCATGAAACAAAGATTCTGTTTCTATGGAGATGTCCCAGTAATAAAAGTCTTCCCTGAGACATCAACAGCTCTTTAAAGATCTGGGTGGGTTGACAGCAAGGCAGAGATGAAAATGTTAAACTGCTCTTTACTCCATAAGGGAGGTTAGGGATTCTCAAACCAAGGACTTATTTTTGTTATGATTAGAAAGAAAAGTCCATCAATAAACTTGTTTCCTGGATACAAAGTTACATCATACACAGAGAGCAATTTCCAAGAAGACTGTGTGGAATAATACAAGCGTCCATCCCCACAGAGCAGTGCAGGCCTCTGGGTCACTGTGACTTGGGTCATCAAAAAGACCGCAATGACCAAGACATGGTCATCTTGTGAAACTGCCTCTGGGTCCCAGGTCTCCACATGAAGGAGCAAAGTGCACAGCAGCAGAGGCAGCAAAGCCAGAGGCCGACAGCCCTATCCTCACTCCTCCCAACCCAGACCCCTCTGTCTTGCTGGACACGCGGCCACCAACTTCTGTTAAATAGAGATGCTACCAGCTTAACTAGGCAGGCTACCAAGATGGGCCCCAAAACAGAAAATGACAGATACCATTTACTCACAAGTCCTCAGCTAATAATGAGGGTCCTGCGCTTCTCTGCTGGTGGGCTGGGGTGACAACCTGGGCACAAGCTTCCACTAGAGGAGAGGATGTTCCAGTGCTCTATGGCCCCTTCCAAAAAATCCCAACCATATTGCCTGAACTTGGGTTGAGGAGGGTAGCTCTAAGCCTGTGCTGTTCAGCCACTAGCCATACATGGCCACTTAAGTTTACATTAAAAAAAAAAATTCATTTCCTCAGTCCCACTAGCACTCAATGATCACATCTGGTTTGTGGTTACCACATTGGAGAGTGCTGAGCTAGAGCGTTTCCATCATTGCAGTATGTTAGGCTGAGCTTTGCTGCTTGACATCTTAGAAGCTGGACCAGAAGGCAGGCTATCAGCAGAACGGGGGCAGCCTCCAGGGGGGCCCTTGCTGAAGTGTGCTCGGGTGGGATGTGGCACCGGCCTGTCAGCACACCCTAATGTGTCCCTGAACACAGCCTCAGTGGGGGACCACTTCTTACCCAGCTGCGAACTGGGAGAGCCAAAACTCACAGTATTCCCAATATAAAACTAACAATCAACCATAAAAAAACTTAATACTTAAAAATCCTCATATATAGCTGGGCATAATGGTACATGCCTGTATTCCCAGCTAGTTGGGAGGATCGCTTGAGCCTAAGAGTTTGAGTCCAGCCTGGGCAACACAGTGAGACCCTGTCTCAAAAAAAATTTTTTTTTTTTTCACTTAAAAGCCATTTTCTTGGCCAGGCGCGGTGGCTCACGCCTGTAATCCCAGCACTTTGGGGGGCCAAGGTGGGCAGATCACAAGGTCAGGAGATCGAGACCATCCTGGCTAACACGGTGAAACCCCGTCTCTACTAAAAACAGAAAAAATTAGCCGGGCGTGGCGGCGGGCGCCTGTAGTCCCAGCTGCTGGGGCGGCTGAGGCAGGAGAATGGCGTGAACCCGGGAGGCGGAGCTTGCAGTGAGCCGAGATCGCGCCACTGCACTCCAGTCGGGGCAACACAGCGAGACTCTGTCTCAAAAAACAAAAAAAAAAAGCCATTTTTTTCAACTAGAAACAAAACTTTATATTACTGCTCCCCCTCTTTCCTGGCCACTAGACTACAGGGAAGAAAACACAATATTACGATGTAACTAGAGGTAATGAAAATGAGAAAAGGCAACTGGTTGGCTCTTTTAAAAACTTATTTTTATTTGAACAGACCTGTTCTTGCTATGTTATCCAGGCTGAACTTGAACTCCTGGCCTCAAGTGATCCTCTAGCCTCAGCCTCCCGAGTACCTGAGATTACAGGTGTGAACCACCATACCTAGTTAACTGGTTAGCTCTCTTTCTTTTTCTTTTGAGACAGAGTCTCGCTCTGTTGCCAGGCTGGAGTGCAGTGGCGTGATCTCAGCTCACTGCAACCTCCACCTCCCGGGTTCAAGCGATTCCCCTACCTCAGCCTCCCAAGTAGCTGGGACTACAGGCACGCGCCACCACACCTGGCTAATTTTTCATATTTTAGTAGTGACAGGGTTTCACCATGTTGGCCAGGCTGGTCTCAATCTCCTGACCTTGTGATCCGCCCACTTCGGCCTCCCAAAGTGATGGGATTACAGGTGTGAGCCACCGTGCCTGGCCCAACTGGTTAGCTCTTGAAAGAGAAGGATTTAACAGCTGTACTACAGAATATGGCAGACCATGACCCAGGGTAAATTACACCTTAGACTCAACATGAAAACATTTGGAGGAAAAAAGAGAACAGAAGGGATGGACTAAAACCCAAACTCCCTGAACTGACATTTCAAGGCTACTTCATTTTTGTTTTGAGATAGGGTCTCACTCTGTTGCCCAGGCTGGAGTGCAGTGGCCCAACTGAGGGTCATGCAGCCCCTCCTGGGTCCTTCCATCTCAGCCTCCCTGGGTAGCTGGGACTACAGACAAGGGCCACCACGCCTGGCTAATTTTTTGTATTTTTTGTAGAGACAGGGTTTCACCATGTTGGCCAGGCTGGTCTCGAACTCCTGGGCTCAAGCAATCCTCCCACCTCAGCCTCCGAAAGTGCTGGGATTACAGGTGTGAGCCACCACACCTGGCACTCTGTTTCTGATTCCCTATCTTTCCGTTGATCAAATAGTGCCTTGGCCATCAAGCTGCCTTTCAGTCCACATGTACGTGTGAATACACACACTTTTGTAATAGTCTAACTGGCATCAGCATTATCTTCTCTACCTCTCTTGTTCTTTTTAACTGTTTCTCCTACAGAAGCTTGGAGAGAAAAGAGGGAAGGGGGAGGTAAGGGCAAGAAGGATGTGAAAGGAATGGAGACATATGCTTAAACAAAAGTCAGGAGCTGCAAACAACTGCTGCGCTGGAAGGAAGGGGGGGCAGGATGAATTCTGAGACCTGATCCAAGTCTGTTGGCCCTGCTCTGTGTATGTTATGCCTCACGCCTGTTCCCATCATGCAGTCAGCCACGCCCTCTTCCCCTTCCCATCAAATTCAAATCAAACCCCGCCTCCTATGGACAGCGTGGCTGCCTTCGTGGACAGCCCTGCTTCTCTCCTGGGGAAGCACAGAGAGGGGGCATGCACATGACAAGCACCATGCTACTTGCTGCCTTCTCTCACCACTTTTCCTCAAACGTGACCACAGGCATTATGGGGGCTGCCTGGGTGATGGTCTTAGATACATCTAATGCTCAAGTAACTAGAGGACATTATGTCAAGTGAAATAAGCCAGGCACGGAAAGTTAAAAGCTGCATGTTCTCGCTCATGTGGAAATTTAAAAAGCTGATCTTACGGAAGTATTAAAAAGTAGAACAGAGGATACTAGAGGCCAGGAAGGGGAAAGGAAAGGAAGAGATAAGTAGAGATTTGTTAAAGAATACAAAATTACATCTAGATGGGAGAAATAAGTTCTAGTATTCTGTATCACTGTAGGATAACCACAGTTAACAACATTATATTGTATAGTTTCAAATGACTAGAAGATACCAAATGTTCCCAACACAGACATGTTGTTTGAGACGATGGATTTGCTAATTACCTAGGTCTGATCATTTTATATATATATTGAAACATTACTGAGCACCCCATATCTACAATTACTGTCCATTAAAAAAAGTAAAAAACGCTGGGCGCGGTGGCTCACGTCTGTAATCCCAGCACTTTGGGAGGCTGAGGTGGGTGGATCACCTGAGGTCGGGAGTTTGAAACCAGCCTGGCCAACATGGCAAAACCCCGTCTCTACTAAAAATACAAAAATTAGCCGGGCATGGTGGTGGGCGCCTGTAGTCCCAGCTACTCGGGAGGCTGTGGCAGGAGAATCACTTGAATCTGGGAGGCAGAGGTTGCAGTGGGCTGAGATCATGCCATTGTACTTTAGCCTGGGCGATAAGAGCGAAACTTCGTCTCAAAAAGAAAAGTAAAAAACTTAATAAACTTGAAATTAACACCCACCTTGCCGCCAAAAAAGTAACTGGGGAAAACACCCACTGAAGGGACTAAAAGTCTAGAGTAAGAAAGGTGATTTTCCCAGGTTATCGAAGCTCTGAGTCAAAACTCAAGTCTTCTGCGTCACTCATTGGATGGCACTTCTTTAACAAAATGTTTCCCTTCTTTCAACAGTTAACACACTGCAAAACATCCCCCTATCATCTCAGCAAAGAAAATACAACACTCTATTGTATGTATACAACGTACTGTGATTTAGAGTAAGAAATACATATTTTAGTCTTCATCCCTGATTCCTGGCACAGACCTCCTAAAACCCGTGTAAATTCCTGAGCAATTAGGGGTGCTAGGAGCATCTTTTCTTCTAATATTTGGTTTTTGATCCTGGTTCCTGACATGGAGCTCCTAAACCCTTGGAATTTCCTGGATAGGAGCACTTTTTGTTCTAAGGCTACTCTTGGTGGTTCCTGGATGGGGGCTGGGCACCAGAGAGACGAAGCTGTGATTAGCAGCTTGGAACTGTTAGCTCTACCCACCCCACTCCAGGAAGGACAGAGGGGGTGAAGATTGAGTTAATAATTGATTATGCCTACATGATGAAGCCTCCAAAAAATCCGTGAACTACTGGATTCAGAGGGCTTCTGGACTGCTGAGTAGATGAAGGTGCCTCAGGGGTGGTGCCCCTGGAGAGAGCATGGACGCTCCATGCCCCTGCCCACACATCTGGCCCTATGTTTCTTTCATGTGGCTGTTCATCTGCATCCTTTATAATGGGTAAACACAAGTGAAGTGTTTCCGTGAATTCTGTGAGCCATGTTAAACATTAATCAAACCCAAGGAAGCGGTCTTGGGAACCCCAGTTTATAGTTGATCACTCAGAAACACAGGTCATAACACAGGGCTTGAGATTGGTATATGAAGTGGGGAGCGGTCTTGTGGGACTGAGCCCTTAACCTGTAGGGGCTGCACTAACTCTGCTTAGTATCAGAACCAAGCTAAACTATAGGACACCCAGTTGGTGTCCAATGGTGAATTACCTGTGTGATGCTATCAAGAAAAGAAAGTAAAAAGACAACTCAGAGAATGGAAGAAAACATTTGCAAACCACATATCCAGAATTACAAATAATTCTTTTTTTTTTTTTTTTTTTTTTTGAGACAGAGTCTCACTCTGTTGCCCAGGCTGGAGTGCAGTGGCGTGATCTCGCAACCTCTGCCTCCCGGGTTCAAGTGATTCTCCTGCCTCAGACTCCCGAGTAGCTGGGACTATAGGTGCGCGTCACATCTGGCTAATTTTTGTAGTTTTAGTAGAGACGGGGTTTCACTATTTTAGCCAGGCTGGTCTTGAACTCCTGACCCCATGATCCACCCGCCCGGCCTACAAATAATTCTTAAAACTTGACATTAAAAAGATAAACAACCCAATTTTACAATGGGCAAAGGATGTGAATAGCTATTTCTCCAAAGAAGATGTACAAATGGCCAATAGGCACAAGAAAAAAATGCTCGACATTAGCCATCAGGGAAATACAAATAAAAACCACAATGAAATAACATTTCATACCCACTGGGCTGGCTACAATTAAAAAAAAAAAAAAAAAGAAACACATATGACAGCAAGTGTCAGGGAGGACCTGGGGAAAGGAGAACACTCATGCACTGCCACTGAGAACGTAAAATGGGGCAGCCATTTTGGAAAACAGTCTGACAGTTCCTTAAAAGGTTAAACAGAGTTACCATATGATCCAGCAATTCTACTCCCAGGTACACATCCAAGAGAACTGAAAACATGTTCACACAAATGCTTGCATGTGAATGTTCTATAGCAGCATTATTCATAACAGTCAAAAAGTGGAAGTAACCCAAATGTACAGCAAAGCCCACAGAGATAGAAAGGATTGAGTCCAACAGAGCTTAAAGGGAAAAAAAAATCATAAAAATTTAAAAAAGAAAACAGAATAGTGGTTGCCAGGGACTGGAGGGAAGGGAAGGGAGATGAGTGCTGCTAATGGGTGGGAAGTTTTTTTATGAAGTGACAAAAAAAAAAAAAAAAAAAAAGAAAAGAAAAGAAAAAAAACAACGACAACAGAGAGAATCAAACTGTATGTCCTAATCCTTTGGATGCTCTGGACAAGGGTCTGTGGTCTCCTCTTACCTGCATCAATGGCACACGGGTAATGGTATCGGAAGGAGCAGCCTTTGTTGTAGCAGCCCAAGGTGGCGCCTGCCTCCTGGCAGTGGGAACATTTCTGAAAGGAAGGGAAAAGTCAGGCATGTCAGTATCCCAGATTTGGCCCTCTCCTCCAGGCCTTCCCTGGTCCCCATCTGTTAGACCTCAGCACGTGTCTCTGTGGTTAGAGGAGTCCGTGGTGGCAGGATGAGCTGGTCAATTTCTAAATGCCATTCACTGACCACACCATGGGAAGGGATCCAGCAATAATGTTTTAGACCAAGCCTCACAAATGTTCTCAAATCAACAATACAGCAGGGTGAGATGAGCAATCCATGTCATAAAGGACATGCCAGAGTGGGGTCCCCAGCCCTGCCTCTGGTACCCCCGCCATCCACCCACCCACACACTATGCCAGGCATTTCCTTGCTGCTATCGTGAGCGGCCTGCAGATCTTCCCTGTTTACTTCTGCTGTGAAAATCTGGGGTAAGAGAGGGTAAGGTAGTAGAGTTATATATAAACCTTTTAGAATTAGAAGTGGAATTTGGTTTCTAGTTCTTGTATTTGTAAGAAGATTTTATTTTTATTTTTGATCTACTTACCCCAAATGCCCAATACATTTCCCTTTTCAGAAAATATGGGCTCCTGTGTGCAAATGGTATTTTTATACATGAATCTTATTTTAAATGCACCAGAAAACCTGCCATGAATTTCTGGCTAAGTGAGACATTATTTTGTAATTGAGACACTCCTCCTTATATGGTCAGGTTTTCTTAAAGTGGGGCACATCTCTGTCAGCCCTGTGATGTGGCTGCTGTGAGTGCTCATCCTGTCAGGTAAGAAATGTGTCCTATCAGCAACAAACACATTCATAAAACTCAACCACATGTGACCCTACTAAGGATGCTGGCTCTTCAGATAGCAGAGGCACACAACCAGCAAGACTAGCTGGAAGAGACAGAAACTTGTTCCTGCTTCTATGAAAAATAAAAGTGTTCCCTAAGCAATTACACTGAGCTGGCTCAGGCCCCCGACACAGATACTGATGGAAAACTACACTAACGCCAGCAACAGCAAAGCCCAAGCGCTCGCCACGCTCAGACTGAATGATCTCATCCAGCCCTCTGCACTATTCCACCTGGCAGGCACTCCTAATGCTTCACGTGAAACTCTTGAGACACCAAAGGGAAAATAACTTGTTCCAGGTCAGAGCTGAGATTCTGGATGATCATCTCTGGCATCCTCCAGAGACAAAAGAGGTAGGAACAAGGGCTGGAAGAGATTAGTCCTTCAAAAGCTTTGCCCTGCTCTCAGAAGATCAAGGTCCTTCTGGGTGCCCATAATCAGTAAATGTTTATCATGTGCCCTCGCACCCTTGTTAAGAGAGAAAAGATCATTTGGTCTGGAGTAAACCAAGGACAAGTTCACAGCATTTCTAGTAGCCCTAGACTCTGTCGACCTTTGTCAGTGCCACAGAGCATCTCAGAATCAAAAGGACTATCAACTTCAGAGAAGGGAGTGTGGGTAGTCCATCGGTGGCCAACCTGCAGCCATGTCTGCTGCCACTTTCTTTTTTTGAGATGGAGTCTTGCTTTGTCGCCCAGGCTGGAGTGCAGTAGCGCAATCTTGGCTCACTGCAACCTCTGCCTCCCAGTTTCAAGCCATTCTCCTGCCTCAGCCTCCTGAGTAGCTGGGATTACAGGCGTATGCCACCACGCCAGGCTAATTTTTGTATTTTTAGTAGAGATGGGGTTTTGCATATTGGCCAAGCTGGTCTCAAACTCCTGACCTCATCGCATCTGGCCTCCTGCTGCCACTTTCTTACTCAAGAGGCCCGAAGATATGGCCCTCCCTACCCTGGGGGATGAATCACAGTGAGTGGTGGCCATTTAGGAATGGGTATGGTCAAGCATTTCTGGTAGGAAAGTCTGCAGGAAAAAGGGCTTCTGAAAACATTTTGCACTCCCCCCAACCTTTTTTTTTTTTTTTTTAATATATTTTGAGACGATGTCTTGCTCTGTCACCCAGGATGGAGTGCAGTGGCACAATCATGGCTCACTGCAGTCTCTACCTCCCAGGCTCAGGTGATTCTCCTGACCTCAGCCTCCCGAGTAGCTGAGACTACAGGGTGTGTGCTACCACATCCAGCTTTTTCAAAAAATGTTTTTGTAGAGACAGGGTCTCACTATGTTGCCCAGGCTGTCCTTGAACTCCTGGGCTCAAGCAATTCTCCCATCTCAGCCTCCAAAAGTGCTAAGATTACAAGCATGAAAGTTTCACCCTCTCAAAAAGAGACAAGAGGGAGGAACAGGTAATTTTTCTTGCGCAGCCTCTGTGAGGATTAGACAGTGGGATCTGTGGCAGCCACAGTATCACCATGAGGGGACAGCCCTGAAGACAAAGCCAGCCTGCTGAGGACAGAAGAGTGGCAAGATGGAGAGACCTGGGCCTACCATGACACTGTCAAGCACTAAATCACCCAAACCCAGGACCAGGCCACCTCTAGCCTTGTTACAGGAAACTTGGGTGCTGCTGTAGAAGGGTTAAGTATGCATGCTCTGGAACCTAAATAACTGCCTGGTAAGTGGCTCCACTTTCTAGCTCTGCCTTCTTGGCCAAACTCCTAACCTCTGTTCCTCAACCTACAGACGTGGGACTAATAATAGCACTCACCTCATAGAAATGTCATAAGGGTTAAATGAATTAATTCAGGCTTAAAACAGTGGCTGGGTCAAAAGTGCTAAGTAAATGTGACCCAAGATGACCATGTGTCAGACATATGCTAGATAATCTACAAAGACCATCTCATGAAAAGCAACCACACAGCAGGCCTCATCACCATCCCGGTTTACAAGAGGAAAGAGAAGACGTGGAGCTTAGATCTGAACAATGTCCATTTGCTTCCTACCTCAACTCCACAACCTGGCAAGCAGTGTGCAAACTCCACTATGATTAATTTATAACATTGCATCCAAAGGGGAAAGACTCTCAGGCTGTATTAGGGACTTAGAGAAAGATCCTTAAAGACAGTTTAGTTCAGTGGTTTTTGAAGTGTGGTCCCCTGGAACAGCAGCATCAGCAACACTCAGGGACTTGTCAGAAATGCAGTTTTGTTTTTTGGGTTATTTTTGAGACAGAGTCTCGTTCTGTCACCCAGGCTAGAGTGCAGTGGCACAGTCTTGGCTCACTGCAACCTCCGACTCCCATGTTCAAGTGATTCTCGTGCCTCAGCTTCCCAAGTAGCTAGGATTACAGGCATGAACCACCACACCTGGCAACTTTTTGTTTTTTTACTAGAGACGGGGTTTCAACATGTTGGCCAGGCTGGTCTTGAACTTCTGACCTCAAGTGATCCACCTGCCTTGGCTTCCCAAAGTGCTGGGATTACAGGCGTGAGCCACTGTGCTTGGCAGAAATGCACGCTTTTGAGCCCCACCTAAATCTGTGTTGTGAGAAGTCCTCCAGGCTATTCTGATGTACAATGCAGTTTGAGGACCACTGGTCTAATTCAACTCCCCAACTTTTCAGATGCGGAAAAAAGAAACCCAGAGAGACACAATGACTGGGTGAGCTAGGATTACTGGATTACTGGTTTCCTGAGAGCCATTCAGTGTTCTGTCTCCTACAGAGCAATCAGATCTTGGGATATGGTAGGCAGAATCCCAAGAACCTGTGATCTTATATATACAAAATCAACTTTGTGGATGAGATTAAGTCAAGGACCTTGAGATGGGAAGAATATGCTAGGTTATCCAGGTGGGCCCAATCTAATCACACAGGCCCATAAAAGCAAACGATTCCCCCCCAGAGGGAGTTACAGTTGTCAGCTTCAGGGAGACCTGATGATTTGCCAGCAGGGTCATAGGTGCAATGCTGCTGGCCTGGAAGATGGGAGAAGGGACAGGGCGGCAGCTGCAGAATTTTTAAAAGGCAAGGAAGCATGTTCTCCCCTAAGACTCTGGACTTTTCCAAAGCCCAGCCCACACCTCAATTCCAGCCCAGTAAGACACCTGTGTTGGACTTTGAACCTACAGAACTGTAAGCAGAACTGTATTAACAAGTTTGTGGTAAGGTGTTATGACAATGATAGAAAACTAATACACGGGGATTTCCCAAGACTCTCAAGTGATTGTTCATTTTCCTTTTAGGTTCTTTTTTTTTTTTTTTGATGGAGTTTCGCTCTTGTCGCTCTGGAGTGCAATGGCATGATCTCGGCTCACCGCAACCTCCACCTCCCGGGTTCAAGCGATTCCCCTGCCTCAGCCTCCCGAGTAGATGGGATTACAGGCACCTGCCACCACGCCCAGCTAATCTTTGTATTTTTAGTAGAGATGAGGTTTCACCATGTTGGCCAGGCTAGTCTTGAACTCCTGATCTCAGGTGATCTGCCCACCTCAGCCTCTCAAAGTGCTGGGATTACAGGCATCAGCCACCGCACCTGGCCTTAGGTTCTTTAATGCAACAGATTTCTCCCTCAATTTGCCTAGTGAAACCTACAATTTCACTAGGCAAATTGTGACATCAGGAGATCAATAAAGAAGGAACTCTGGGTCTGTCTTCGACATCTGTTTTTCTTGTAGAAGAAACAAGAGGCTAAAGCAAAGTGACCTGCTAAAGATCACATAGCTAGTAAGAGAACTTAGAACTTTACCTCTTTTTCTTCTGAACCCCAAGTTCAACTTTCTTCATACCATACCATGACGCCTGTTAGCCCCCTTCATTCACTCAACTATCCAACATTTGAAAAGTACTTTCTAGGTGCCAGGTGCCAAAGATAGAATATAAATACTTATCTATAGTATCTTCCATGTGTAAGGTTTTCCCTTCTACCCAAAAATCAATACCCAGGCCAGTACAATTTCTAATTAAATTTTTATTCTATACTTTTTACCTGGAGTAGCTATTTGCATTATCATCCTCCTATGCTACAAATAATATATTAAAGTCACTGCACAGCTAAATGTCCTTTGTTTTTGACCACAGTGTTACTACATTCACTCCAAGCAGAGGTAAGTCCATACAATACTGCTCCCCAGGAAGAATGAGACACATTGGGGGCTCCAAGCATGATTTCTAAATTAAGACACATTTTAAAAATAAGGAATGGCCCAAACTTCAAAATCTTTTAATAGTAAATTTTTTATTATGGAAGGGAATAAAAACTATTTTTAAAGAACTCTAATAAGAACCTCACATTTTTTGATACTCTAAACTTGGGAAATAAATTATAAAAGGTATTATTAGTTTTGGGACATGTTTTAACGGAAAGTGGCCCAGATACAGAGCTTGAACCTTTCACCAGACTTTGTCACTGTCTCAGAGGCAGGGCTCGCTGACTTGAGGTAGCAAACTGCAAGGACTGAGTCAACTAGCGTTGTTTAATCCTTATCTGAGGGAAGCTTTAAGGGAGCCTTCTCCAAGCCTGATGCCTGCTCATTCACAGAAAGGCTCTTTCTTATGAGATATAACAGCAACCTGAATCATCATCCTGTTTAATTAGCATCTCAGAGCAGCCTCAGAACACCAAAGCAACTGGGTCACAGTAGTATTATAGCACACTGATGACAACTGGTTTTGTTCAAGCCTTGCAGATTACCCTCCACTACTGTGCCTAAGACGGCTCTTATCCAGCATGGCACACACTTCTGCTCATGCTCACAATATTTACTTACTCATGTTTGTCCATCTCCCCTAAACTGTGAGACTTGTTCTTGCACCCCCCAAGGACTGGCACACCATAGGCACTGTAAATGTGGGCTGATGGAATGAATGCAATGTCTGACAAACTTGAGAGCCTGAAGACAACTAATGAGGATACTCTTCAATGAGTTACAAAACTGATGCTGGTGGAGCTTGGAGAATGTGGAACAAGGTATGTGTTCATTTTTGGCCACCAGCAAAAAGTTTTTTGTCCTTTTAATTATGCCTCCTACATCTAGGATGGAAGCCGCTGTCCTCCCAGCTATCAATGCCAACTACGTGGCAGCTAGATGGGCTACATACAAGGAGCTACCCTTCAAGGCCCTGTGAGCATTTCTTTGATGCAACTCTGCATCCTATCAAGCTTCTTAAAGACTACTTCAAAGTGTTAGCCAAAGCAATACATACATAGCCCTAGGTGTTTTGGTCCTTACTTCCTTAGAGCTAGACGATCTCCTTACGTTTCTTCATGAAAAGCTCATGAGACTGGCTGGAGAACCTTTAACTTGCCATTAACACAAAGACTGAGGGAATGGGCTCTGGCACCAGCCTCTGGGACCTGCACCACGGCCCAGTACCACCAAGGCTTCCCAGTCAACCTCAGAGGGACAGAGACTTGTCCAGTTCTTCTCAGGTCCATTTACTCAGTGCTACTCAAGTTATGGTACATGGATTTAGAATCTGCACTTATGTCCTACAGCTGCTCCGGCAAAAGTGCCAGTTTCAGAAACTGAATCCATTAAATACACACTTAATCAATTATGATGTCAGTATGAAACATCAGCCAGCCACTCACTGGCTAAGGGCTAATTGTGTGTACTTAAGACAAAAGTTCCAGGCTTGACTAGCTTTTTAGAATAAATGTGGTTGGTCTAATGTGCATACTGTCCAGGTATGATGCAGCACAGGGCTACTGGAGAAAAAAACTGAGGGTGTCAGCACACGTGTGAAAGCCAAAAGTCACCAGGTCAATTTTATCATCTGTAAAATGGGGATAACAGTATTTGCTTTGCCTTCTGCCTAAAGCTGCTGTGTAAAATAACCATAAAAGTGTTTTACAAACTAGAAAGTTATGTAATTATTAGAACTTTTAAATAAAAATTACATAAAACATACATTCATCTCTGTCATACTTTGGCAATTACTGATATCAAAATCAGATATAATACAAAGTACAGTCTATTAAATTAAGACAAACAGTTTAAAGTTAATTTTTTGTTAAGTAATTTCTCTCCTACAATCTGCCTTAAACAAGCAGACCCTGCATGGGTCTGGACACCTGCTGCTGGTCGTTTTTTTGGTAAGTCTAGCTGCTGTATGTTTCAGTAATGTTTCATCTCCGACGGTGTGGAAGGTCAGTTCTTGGCCAAGTCTCTGGACACTTCACTTCTTAGCTACTATTTACTATTACTTTCATTGTATCTCCCCTCTCAATTCTCCTATCTGGGACCAATACAAACTAAAACTATTTTTAAAGCTTTCTAAAGCATTTTGCATTACAAGAAAAGATGTTAAATAAATGGGGACTAATAATGACACACAACTGCATACAAATTAAATTCTAGCAGGATTTCGAAAGCATTGAAAACTGCCCCAAAATGGCATATTGAGCACAACTAGAATGAGAAAAACCGCCTCACAGGCTTGCCTGTTGTACTCTACAGACAGTGCCCTCTGTTATGTGGAGAGCAGACCTGGAAACCAATGACTCCTTTGCTGCCTGCATCAGAGTCACCTGCCAGGTGCTCCTAGCCATACTTCTCCAAACCTGTCCCTACTCACATTAATCTAGAATAATCTGCTGTGGCTGATTCTGGACCCTCTGCTGCCATGTGGATCTTAGGTCCAACAGATGGTACTATTCCTTACAACACACTTAGGGCCCAATAGTTCATCTTCTCTGCCTCCTGGGACCCAGTCATCTGCTTCCCTCCAATACAAGCCCATGAAAACACTCACACAAACTTTCTTTAATCTGATCATCTTTCAAGCATAATTTGAAATAAAATTATATATTTAGATCACCATTCTCCTCCCATAAAAGCCCCAATCAAAACATGGCTCTGCTACAGATCCTGACAAGTATTTGTTTCTTTGGGAAAACCTTTCAAGTCAAATTATAAACCTGTAATAAGTGTCTCTGTGGCTGAGTGGTGGTTGGGTGGTAGCTGGCCCCAGAAGTGGTACAAAACGCACAGAAAGCCTGACCCAGGTCCAAATCTCTTGAGTGTGGCCGTTTTGGCGGCATCTAACAGCTACATCCTTGGATTCTGTTTTGATCCACAAAGAAAGCCCGTTCCCTTATTTCCCTTCCGATGTCTTTGTGCCCATAAGGTGGGACCAGCCTGTCTGCAGTTTATAGTAAAGTTATGATGTTTTCCATCAGGTTAGAAAGGTTGGGATTAAAGGACTTTTCTCCTTCATTAAGAATGTCCTTCTTTGTCTTTCTGTACTTCATCTACCAAACAGAGGATGTCAGAAATTAGCCACAATCTTGAGCAGATAAAGAACATATTCAGAATACACACAGCTTTATACAATGGACTTACTCATTTTAACACTGAGCAAACAAATAATGAGAAGTTAGTAGGTCTAAGACGCAGCTGGGGAAGGAGGTCTTTTCTCCAGAAGATTCTGTCACATACCTCTTTTTATGCCATTGTTGCTTTAAAAAATCCAGATTCTCAGGCCGGGCATGGTGGCTCACGCCTGTAATTCCAGCACTTTGTGAGGCCGAGGCAGGCGGATCACCTGAGGTCACGAGTTTGAGACCAGGCTGGCCAACACAGTGAAACCCTGTCTCTACTAAAAATACAAAAATTAGCTGGGTGTGGTGGTGCATGGCTGTAATCCCAGCTACTCGGGAGGCTGAGGCAGGAGAATCGTTTGAACCTGGGAGGTGGAGGTTGCAGTGAGCGAGATCATGCCATTGTACTCCAGCCTGGGCAACAAGAGTGAAACTCCGTCTCAAAAAAAAAAAAAAAAAAAAAAAAAAATCCAGATTCTCACCCGTGAGCTGTGTTATGAGGAAGGGACCTCTGCAATAATGTGAAGGTAACCCTTGGCTAACGAAAGTAAAAACACCAGACCCATGCTTCTTCAGAATCATAAAGTGTAAGTTATTCTACTGAATGTGAAGAAGGCAGTTTGACTTCCTAACGAGCTGTTCTCTGGGACTTTTAATTTGCCTTATTAATGTGTCAATCCTGATTCCACAGCATAAAACTGCATGTCCAGAAAGTAGAAACATGGGTTGGATGAAAATTAATAAGAACTTGATCAGGCTGGTCTTTCCCCTTGACATGCAGGTTTCTCTAAAGGTTGTAAGACACTGTGTGATCAAGGTGCCTTTTATTCTCAGGGCTCTTTTCTTTGATATTTAAGTTCCCTTAGGAGTTGATGGTATCGACTTCAGAAGTATAATAATCTTTTCTTTTTATTCATTCTACAAATTTTTATTGCATGCCTGTGTGCAGGGGCTGAAATGGGGAGCCAAAAGTTCACCTAGTGTCTACCCTCCAGGAGCTCACAGAATGATCTGGGGGTAAAGCAAAATTTAAACAGTGATGTAAACAGTACTTCAGAGCGCAGACTTAATGCCACCAACCTAGTTAAGGAAGTCAGGAAAGCATTCTTGAGGGAGTGTAGCTTGACCTGAGTCATAAAGAGTGAGTAAGAGCTACCTGGGGGGAAGGGGAACAAACTGCTTTGTGGAGGGACAAGCAGGCAGGGTGTAGGGAACCAACACAGTGGAGCACAACTCTGAGAGGGTGGGAAGCTGATATGCAGGAACCCAGGGCCAACAATGGCTGTTGCTGGGTTAGGGATGATATGGAAGAGTTTGGGTACTGGTGGTGGAAATGCATACAAGAGGCAGCATAGACTTCGAAGGTAAAACCGACAGGACTTGATGCTGACACATGGCCAGGGGGTCTGTGAGATGTGTTGCAGTGAGCCTGAGTGTGTGGCAGTGTAAATCAGCACAGTGGACAGGGAGCCCTCTGGATGCCAG
The DNA here is from genome assembly GCF_000001405.40 of Homo sapiens. NCBI lineage: Eukaryota > Metazoa > Chordata > Mammalia > Primates > Hominidae > Homo > Homo sapiens. Next base: position 80,741 of record NW_015148968.1, read on the forward strand.
CACAGCAGGATTCTGATGAGGTGAGCACACACGTGGCACCTGCTCTAAATGCTACTTTCTCCTAGAAAGATTCCATTTACAGAAGAGAATGTTTTGGACTGAGAGCAAAATCTCAACTGGTCAGGAATGGGTTTAATTCCAAATGACATTTTATGGGTAACTACGAGAAACCTTTTATAGAACACAGGCTATCTTCCTGCTTTAGTAAATAGCTCAGGGTTTTGAGTAAACTGATTGTTTTCCGTTGTCTTAGAGTTATGATTCTGTATTAAGAGTATTCTTGTAAGACACGAGGAAGAGACTAGGCTTTATCAAAGTGATCCCAGGACATAGCCTAAAACTTGCTTTTTAAAATAAATCCCTGCTAGCAAGCTTTTTTTCCGTATCATTTTACTTCTCCTAAAGTAGAGGACAACAACGACAAATCTAGTCAAAGAAACTGTTCCAGTTAGTTTAACTGACAATTCCTCTGTGTACCTTCCTTATATTCAGATATTCCTTATCAGAAATCTTTTTTGATTTTTACCTCAAATTTAGGCAGTCTAAAAACAAAGACAAGAAATAAGGAAAAGAGAGAAAGCTGGGGCGGAGAGGAAGTTCTCGGAGTTTTTCACTGGAGCGGAGCTGTCCACTGAAGCTGCTGATCTGGAATAGCAGCAGGGCTAAAAGAAACTTATACTTGGCCCTGTCTCTCACTGGTACAGGAGCCTAGGCAAGTTAATTTAAGTCTTGATTTTCTCAACAATACATTGGGGATAATACCCAGTTGGGAAAAAAGGGCACGGTGGGGGTATCTTCTGCTACTTAAAGACACTGATCAGGGCAAAATAACCTGAACAGGGCCAAGTAAGGTGGCCCATGTCTGTTATCCCAGCACTTTGGGAGGTTGAGGTGGGAGGACTGCCTGAGGCCAGGAGTTCAAGATTAGCCTGGGCAACAAAGAAAGGCCCTGTCTCTACAAAAAATAAAATTAAATTTGCTGGGTGTGTTGGCACTCCCTGTAGTCCCAGCTATTCAGGAGGCTGAGGCAGGAGGACTGCTCAAGCCCATGAGGTCAAGGCTGCAGCCAACTATGATCACACCACTGCATTCCAGCCTGGATGACAGGGCAAGACCTTGACTGACACACACACACACACACACCCTGCACATACTTCCCAGGAAGTACCAGCACTGATCCCTAGTCATTTTGTTACTCTCTAGTCCCATGTGGAATGGATGGTCCCTTGAAACTACAAAGGCCGTCTGTGCTTGTCTGCAAGGCTATGGGCAGCAGCACAGACATCCAGGAGGAGTTAAAGCTAACAATCTACTATTGCTACTAAACCAAACCCAGCTATGCTGCCACACAAAGGGGTTCCTTTTGTCTATTTAGAGCGTATTTTACAGGTCAGACACAGTATTTAACCACTTATTCCCCACCCTCAGCTATCTGCTTTACTATGTACACTTTATTGATGTTTAAGTAACATGTGAAAATATGGCAGGTGATACTAATAATTTCTACCAAGGTGCCCACAAAAAAGAAAGTTCGTAATTATCACACATGGTATGAACTTCAACTGCAGATATGGTAGGCAGATATCAGCCACTTGCTGTGGGTTTTTAATGTTCTGTAACACTGTAACTCTAATTATCCTGGGTTTACAGCCTTCAGGTTCTGCATTAATAAATTTATGGAGGCAAAACAAAGGAGGAACAAAAAACAATTTCCCAAATAAAATACATCCATTTGCCTCAATTTAAGTTAAATCCAATCTATGTCCCCCTTCTGGAAAATTAAAGCATTACTCAAGAAGGCCTGGTTTAGTAATTTTTCTCTTGCACAAAATGTATACGTAGTTTGTTATAATGTTAATATGAAGTCTCATAACTCAGAAGGCCAACACAGGTGTCACTAATGATGTTTCTTTGTGCTAACCAAACTTGCCTTTTTTTCTGAAACACAGTTTGCATTTTATTATTATTTTTTAGATGGAGTCTCACTCTGTTGCCCAGGCTGGAGTACAGTGACGAGATCTTGGCTCACTGAAACCTCTACCTCCCGGGTTCAAGTGATGCTCCTGCCTTAGCCTCTAAAGTAGCTGGATTACAGGCACCCACCATCACGTCCAGCTAACTTTTGTATTTTTAGTAGAGACGGGGTTTCACCATATTGGCCAGGCTGGTCTCGAACTCCTGACCTAAGGTGATCCACCCTCCTCGGCCTCCCAAAGTGCGGGGATTACAGGCATGAGCCACTGCACCCAGCCTGCATTTTATCTTATCTACAGTTATATATACTCCATTAAAATAATCCTAATCAGAGGGTTTCTTTTATAGCCCCAAAAGAAAATTGCCACTGTGCTGAAAACCTTATATATTTTGTCTAACGGAGTTTTTCCTATGTTAAAAGGAGCTTGTGCCCTTTAAGAAATTAGAAAGGAAGGGCACAGAGTGCTAGAGTCCAGGACTAGGTATAAGCCATTGATTAGCACTTTTCCTCTGAATAAAAGCAGAGAACCTGAGAAAAGGCTGAACCCAGCAGGAGTAGGAGACCTGCGGCAGCCCTGTGATGAAGAAAGAGAAGAGCTTTTTCTCAAGTACAGGGAGAGAAATACTTACATAGTTTGAAACACTGAAATTGAAGTTGCACAAGGTCTTGCACTAGCTTATTTTTATTTTACCCTTTGCTCAAACAGTGGATTAGCTTATAAAGAGAAATGATTACATTTTGTGCTTTCTGAATCTAAAAAGGCATCTTTTTAAAGAAATTACACTCCAGGGAAGTGACTCTTGGTGTAAGCTGCTTCTCTCCATGGCTCATCCTACCCAGGAGTTGGGTCTGTGCTTCCAGAAAGCCAATTACTGGAAGCTGCTTATTCACAAGGCACCCATACTGAAATGTTTACAGTTTCAGTGCAGAAACGACAAACCTGCTGCCACAATAGGACTCCCTTAACAAGATTTCAAATCTGTGAAGATCATACTGAAGCGGAAATCTCCAAAGCTGTTCCAAACACTTGGCTCTGGAGGTCTTTCTCATTTTTACTCCTTTCTTCCTACTTGCATTCATATTACCTTCCTCTTTCGCACCCGGAGCCACTGCCATCTCACCAACGCTCTCGCCTGTCCATCTTCTCAAACAGGTTGAGGTATTGTCAGGCAAAGCCACCCTATTCCTGGAAGTGGCAAGTTTTTCAAAGGCAGGGGCAGCCTGACAGGACAGACACTGGAGGCTCAGGAAATAGCAGAGTCCCAGCAGAAAGGAACTTTCAAAAACGAGGATATCTTGATATACTGAAGCTAATGCCAATGAAACTACCACAGGATCACTGGTCCTCAAATCCTAAGCCAGCCCCTGCCACCTCTCAGCCAAGCTTCAGTGGGGTCATTTAATTTGGCAACAACATGAGACATAGTCTCACATCTCATTTCAGGTCACTCCCACAGGTCATGCTCAAACCGGGGCCTTTTCTTCCTGGAAACCTACTGGAAGGAAAAACTACGTCCACACTAGAATGGAAACTTTGGCACCCAAATCTGTGACTAGCTTATGAACCTTCAGTTTTCAGAATTGATTTTTGCATTTCTCAAAGGGTAACTCTGCCACCTGCACCAGCATGGTCCTAAGCTTGAGTTAAAAAACACAGACTGAGGACACTGTCCCAGAAGAGACTGAATGGGAAGCATCCCAGGTTCTTATCCTCAAGAAAGTTTTAGAACTATTGGTTCAATTCATCTTCATAGATATGGAAATTTTCTTCTACATTTCTGTTTCAGAAGATTCCTACCAGATTAGGAAGATACTCAGCAAGAGTACAATCCTCATTTCAACAGAAAAGGAAAAAGGAAAAAAAGAAAAGGAAACTCCAAGAGTCTCCATGAAGAAAATAGAGATCTGGAAGTAATATAACCAAGTTTAGAAATCCTGCATAATTCCTCAATACATCTCCTCCTCCTCCACCTACACTTTTTTTTTTTTTTGAGATAGGGTCTCGCTCTGTCACTCATTCATCAAGCCAAAGAGTTTGAGGTTGCAGTGAGCTTTGATTGTGCCACTGTACTCATAGTGGAACAATCAGAGCTCACTGCAACCTCAAATTCCTGGGCTAGAGGAATCCTCTTGCCTCTACTTCCTTAGTAGCTGGGACCACAGGTGCATACCACTGCACTTGGCTGATTTATTTTTTGTAGAGATGGCATCTCACTTTGTTGCCCAAGCTGGTCTCAAACTCCTGGGCTTAGGCAATCCTCCTACCTCAGCCTCCTGAAGTGATGGGATTACAGATGTGAGCCACCATGCCCAGGCCCAAGATTTAAGTGTCTATTGTTAGGACAGATTTCATTTATCCAACACCTTGACAAGGCAGTCCAGTTATTAACTCCATTTTACAGGTTAAGAAATTCAGCTTAGGGGCTAAGTGATGTTATAGTTTCCCAAGAAGCCAACTCCTACAGATGTCTGGATGAAGGATAAAATATGACCTAAAAGATTCTATAATTATGACTCTTTGCCAACAAAGACCGTCCAGTAAATTCAAGAGCCTCTGTGCTCTCCTTTGGGCCTTGTCTCTGGGCAGTGTGGTGGTCGTATAATAAAAGGTGGTTCTATCACATGACTTTTCTTTCAAGAGTGAGATTAGAAAAAAGCAACAAGTAGAGGATGGGACTGGTCAGATTATTGAAATTGTCTGAAAATACACCAATGACTAAGGGATTTCAGAGTTCCCAAGTCAAATTAAGGAGCTAAAGGCAACAACTGGGTGTTTGCTGGTGGTTTCAGAGCTCCTTGGGGGTCCGTGGGAAAAGTGAGTCTTTATGTGGCTGGATCATTTCCTGGGGTTCTCTACAGCTAATTTGGAAGATCTTAAACAGAGAATCTTCTGGAGCTGAGCAACAAGATTTTTTGTTGGCATATTCACCTTAAATGGAGCTTTTTTCCAAAGGTGGGAAGGGATGAGGTAGGTCTGAGAGAACAGAATGCTGGGTCAGCAAGTTAGTGAGATTCCATTATTGGGAGATGATTTGCTTCAATGAAGAACGGTTTCTGTGGCACTGCTAAAACCCTCGCCCTGCCAGGAGGCGAAACTAAAACATTAGTAGTTGATACAGATACTATCAACAACCCCGGCCGCCTTGCACAATGTTCCTCAGGTCTCTACCAGGGATGCTTAACGCTTATCCCTGTCCTGATGTACCCTAGTGAAGGAACAAGTTGTCACTTGGCCCACAGTGAGAGGGCTAAATACTAATGACTCTGCTTCTGCCTGGGAGAGTGTGGGGTGGGGGCGGGGGTAGCGGTAGATGGTGTTACTGAGAAAGCCAGGCAAAGTGGTTGTTCAGAGCAGAGAACTAAGAGAGTGCTCTTGGTGGACTGTGAGTTTCACAGGGCATGGTGGAGGAGACTGGCAAAGCAGCAGAGTGTGGTTCTTGACATGTGCCTATTTCCCCTGCCACTCACGCTTCAAACCCCCCAAGTCACTCTAGTAGTGGCAGGTCCAAGTGCCACATGGGGAGGGCAGGCCTCTGAGGCCTTACTGACTCAGCCCTCCCTTTGGCCGAGTTAGGTGTAGCTTCTCCACACTTACACAGACCTCACAGTATCCATAGACCATGCCTCCCAGCACTTACACAAGTGCTCACTGAACATAAGGTGGGGCTGCTTTTACCTGCTAAAAACTATCCACTGGAAATTCCTTCATTCTGAAATGGTCATTGTGCATTTCAATGTCTAGGAGGCATCTCAGACTTAACATGAACAAAATACAACTCCTGAATCCCCACCAAACCTGTTCTCTTGGGAGACCCTGGAGGAAGAACAGGTTTGGTGGTGATTCAGGAGTTGTGTTTTTCAACATTCAGGTGGCACTACATTCACCCAGTGGCAACTCACATTTTTGTCCCCAGAGACATACACTGAAACTCATGAACAACAAAGCCTCATACAGATGCCCTCTATAATGAAGGCAAAACCTGTTCCTCTGCCTTACAAAGAACCACAAGGACAAGAAATTAAGAATGCTGCTGGTCATCCATCTCTCATCATTTTTTTCCCCAAAACTATAACAGGAAAACAAAAATCAGTCTCACTACCAAAACACATTTTAACATCTCCTTAAATTTTTATACGTAGATTAAAATTCTGACCAGCATATTCACAAATTATTTCCAATATTACATACTTTTTTTTTTTTTTTTTGAGATGGAGTTTCGCTCTTGTCACCCAGGCTGGAGTGCAATGGCGCGATCTCAGCTCACTGCAACCTCCACCTCCCGGTTCAAGCGATTCTCCCGCCTCAGCCTCCCCAGCAGTTGGGATTACAGGTGCCCACCACCATGCCCAGCTAACTTCTGTATTTTTAGTAGAGATGGGGTTTCCCCACGTTGGCCAGGCTAGTCTCAAACTCCTGACCTCAGGTGGTCCGCCTGCCTCGGCCTCCCACAGTGCCAGGATTACAGGTGTGAGCCACCATGCCCAGCTCAATATTACATACTTTTAAACATACATATTTAAATGGCATCCAAAGGCCCACCTCTTCCCACTGGAGGTTACATTGCTTCTACGTGTCTCTTAAAGAACCTGTCAGTCACAAATTTACCCTGCACTGATCACCCCCCATGCCAGGCATTAGGGTGGGCTCTGGGGCCAACTCAGCCCTTGGGGAGCCTATCTGGTGAGGACGACAATCAGATAAGCTGGTAGTCACCCCAAGAGCAGCTCCAGCTTAGCTGGGCATTTGCATAAGTGCTGGGAGGCATAGGCTCTGAATACTGTTGGGTCTGTGTAACCTGCAAAGGGAAGGCTGAGTCAGTAAGGTCTCAGAGGTCTGTCCTACCCTCAGTGAGGAGGCACTCAGACCTGCCACTATTGGAGTGACTTGGGGGATTTGACCCATGGGTGCTAAGTGGTGTAACAGGTAAAATGGGAGTGCAGCTGGGCAGCACTTGCTGCCTGGGGAATGAGGTGACAGGTGAGCTGGTTTTAAATCGATGTGCTTTTCACAAATAATAGTGGATTAAAATGCCCAGGCCTGCTCTCTGAAGAGGAGGGAGACACAAAGTCTTATATCAGCAAACAAATACATTTCATTTTTGAGGGGTTGCCCTTTCAAAGCATTAGTATATTTTTATTACTTCAATAAAGAACCCTACCTAGAAACAAGCAAACAGAATAATTTGGGAACTGTCCTATCACTTATCCTAATGAATTACACTATTATCCTAGCAACCAGCTTTGTATGAAAAAACAAAAATAACTTTCAAGCAAACCAGAGGCCTTCACCTGACATGTGTCTGAACTAAGATTTAAGGTTCACAATCACAGCTTTCAAAGTCTGGAACCACATGGCACCCCTAGGGAGCCAGCCACAATGAATAGGCCTGAGACTTGTTAGATGAATATACATTTTACTAGAAACTTCCACTAGCTGCTCCGTGAGAAACACATAACAGAGATGAAATGCCTCCACCGCTGAACAATGTCAGGGCACCCAGGTCCCACTGGTGGTGCTAGTCCATCAGAAGGGACTAGCACCACTTCAGATTTGAGTTCGGCTGGAAATTTGTTATTCTGTTGACCCTGGTATTGTCTATCTGCCTGTGTAGCAGTTCTTCAATTCTATTTTCATAAGGCACGTTAACTGACAGCAGTATGCTGCCAACATCTTCAAATTAAGTGTCAGCTCTTAAGTGCATACAACCAAAATCACTCCACTATTACCAGGTTTACGTGGACAGCATCAGATAGGGCTGAATTTTCTCTTCAGTTTAATTTCCACCAATAAGTTTAGAGACAGGAGGGTTATCTTTACTAAACCAACACATGAGGACACAATTCTAAGGCTGATGCTAGGTAGCTCATAATATTTGCTTCCTTTAAAACCACATCAACTCAAAAGCTTCCAGGAATAGTTTAGCCTCCACCAAGGAGGCTACTTGATTTCCAGCAAAGTTAGTTTTATCCTTTACAGTCCTCTATCATCATCTAATTTACAGATGAGAAACTTTTTTTTTTTTTTTTTTGAGATGGAGTCTCGCTGTGTCGCCCAGGCTGGAGGGCAGTGGCGCGATCTCGGCTCACTGCAAGCTCCGCCTCCCGGGTTCATGCCATTCTCCTGCCTCAGCCTCCAGAGTAGCTGGGACTACAGGTGCCCGCCACCACGCCCGGCTAATTTTTTGTATTTTTAGTAGAGACAGGGTTTCACCGTGTTAGCCAGGATGGTCTCGATCTCCTGACCTTGTGATCCGCCCGTCTCGGCCTGCCAAAGTGCTGGGATTACAGGCGTGAGCCACCGTGCCCGGCTGGGATGAGAAACTTTTTAAGAGCTCTACTAATGCCTAATTTAGGGGCACCCCTGAAGAAAGGAGTTCCATACATCTCAATTTTCCAGAGAAGTGATTCAGGCTATGAGAAATAGGTACAGAAAAACAAATTGAGAATAATAAAATTCCAAATTAACAATTAATGGACATTAAACACAAAATTAACAGGGAACAACATTAATATCACTAATAAAATAAATGAAAAGGAACTAAAAGTTTAAAAAGAAGGTCCAATGCCACTGAGGTAGCAGTAAACAGGCTCACCTGTCCTCATGGATGCTCATGCCTTGTTATGACCCTTTGTTGATTAAACCACAAGACAATGCCTATCAAAAACCATAACAATGTTGGCCCTTCTTGACCTAGCAGTTCAACAGCCATAAATTTTTCTTTAAATCGAAAAATAAAAATGCTTATTGCTCCATAGAAAGTAGTAAATTAACTGGAAACCACCTCAATAAAAGTGCGGTACTTGAATAAATTACATTATACTCACGCTAAACTAAGAAAAAAGAAATCACAGATTAGAATGAAAATTAAAATTACAAAATAAAGTAAAAAAAGCAACACAGACTTGTATCTACACTGTGATGATGGAGACTCACAAGGTTTGAATCCTGGGCAAGCTCCTCTCTGGACCTCAAATCTCACCTGGAGTGTGATGAGACCCACCAGAAAGGGTTGGTTTGAGGTCTAAATGTGGTAATTCACGTATAGTGCTTAGAAAGCATTCAGTACATGTTAGCAGTCATTACAGTCATTCCTGGCATCCATGGAGGACTGGTTCCAGGACCTCTGCCAATACCAAACTCCACGGATGCCCAAGTCGCTTATATAAAATAGCACAGTATTTGTATATAAGCTAAGCACATCCTCCTGTATACTTTAAGCCATCTCTAGATTATGTATGATACCTAATATGATGTAGCTAATGCTATGCAAAGTTGTTATACTTTCTCATTTAGAGAATAATGACAAGAAGAAAAAAGTCTGTATATATTCAGAACAGATGGAATTTTTCCAAGTTTTTTTTTTTTTTTTGAGACAGTCTCGCTGTGTCGCCCAGGCTGGAGTGCAGTGGCGTGATCTTGGCTCACTGCAAGCTCCGCCTCCTGGGTTCACGCCATTCTCCTGCCTCAGCCTCCCGAGTAGCTGGGACTACAGGCGCCCGCCACCACGTCCAGCTAATTTTTTTTGTATTTTTAGTAGAGACAGGGTTTCACTGTGTTGGCCAGGCTGGTCTTGAACTCCTGACCTCAGGTGATCTGCCCACCTTGGCCTCCCAAGGTTCTGGGATTACAGGCGTGAGCCACTGCGCCCTGCCCCCTCCAAATATTTCCAATCTGCTGTTGATTGAATCTAAGAATGCAGAACCCATGAATATGGGAAGCTAACTGTATTATACTATTATATCTAGTGAAATAATCAGCACATGGACAAAATCTAGAAGAGTCAGATATGTTGGGTTATCAGGATTGCGGCATTCTTCTACGAACAGTTCCATTAGTTTTACAATAAGAATAATACTGTTATCTTTATGTAAATAATATGTAAATCTTTTTCATGACTCAGGAGTTCAAATGGGAACCCTGACCAGCACAGATGGTGCCAGCACCTCATCTAAACCCTGTGGCCAATTTTTCTTTTCTTCTGCCTTTTCCCATGTTTCTTGCTCCTTCCTATGGGCAGAGCGACGATTCCCACTTCAGAGCCCATTTCACCATAGAGTCATGTGGTAGCACTTTGCCTAGCCTCAATTCAGTGCATAAAGGCACGAGGCTGCATTCTGAAACTGAGGAAATAGGGTACAACTGTGCACAACAGAGAGGTTTTCTTCAGGCCCATAAAAATGTTTGACATGTGCTCTTTCTCAGTGTAATTAAATACAGTCTTGGTTTTTCACCACATTGTCAGTATCTTGGGAAAATTATTTTAAAAGTCTAAACAGGCCAGGTGTGGTGGCTCAGGCCTGTAATCCCGACACTTTGGGAGGCCAAGGCAAGTGGATCACCTGAGGTCAGCAGTTCGAGACCAGACTGGCTAACATGGCAAAACCCCATCTCTACAAAAAAAAAAAAAAAAAAAAAAAAAAAAAAATTAGCCAGATGTGGTGACAGGAGAATCGCTTGAACCTGGGAGGCAGAGGTTGCAGTGAGCTGGGATCGCACCACTGCACTCCAGACTGGGCAAGAGTGACTCTGTCCAAAAAAAAAAAAAAGCCCAAACAGCAAGTTATCCTTTCTGTTTCCCCTTCCAATTACATTTTAGGAATAATTATGATGATAGCTTAAATTTTTTTGGTATCTTTTTGGGATTCTCTGGGTTTTTTTTTATAAACATGACACAGACCTCATGATTTCCTATTTTTCTCTCCACTTTCTTTCAATTTGGATTTAAAAATTTATCAGTTTACATCTATTTGAAAGGCTAAATAAAAAGCAAGCAGTTATTTAAAATGCTGTATTAGAATCTAGTGTTGACTTATCTAAACATGTATATTAGGCTGAACTGCCTTCATATCTAATATTTTCTTGTCTAATACATATTAAACGCAAACCTAAATTTCTTTTCTTCAACCCTTCTTTCTGTTATTGGTATGTTGATGACCCCTCACCTCGCCCACTGACTTGCTGGAGCTAGAAACCTCAACTTCATCCTTGACCTCTGCCTCCTCACTTTCCCAAACCTGCTGCATCTAGTCAGTGTTTAAAATCTATCAACTTTAGCCGGGTGTGGTGACTCACGCCTATAATCCCAGCACTTTGGGAGGCAGGTGGATCGCCTGAGGTCAGGAGTTCGAGGCCAGCCTGGCCAACATGGTCAAACCCCATCTCTACTAAAAAATACAAAAATTAGTCGGCATGGTGGCACATGCTTGTAATCCCAGCTACTTGGGAGGCTGAGGCCTGGGAGGATGTTTGAAACTGGGGGGTGGAGGTTGCAGTGAGCCGAGAACGTGCCACTGCACTCCAGCATGGGTGACAGAGCAGGACTTCGTCTCAAAAAAAAAAAAAAAAAAAAGTCTATCAACTTTGAATCCCTAAAACGTTTCTCAGATCCATCCAATCCTTCTGACTCCCGTTTCTACCACATACTCGGTCCTTACCAGCTCTTGCACAAATTAATCCCACAGCCTCTCGAATGACCTGTCTGCTTCTGATGTCTCCCTACTTATTTCCTGAGTTTCCTTTATAAAACACAAACCTGTACATGTGACTTACACGCTTAGAAATCACTAATGGTTTTGCACTGCCCGTAAATTAAAGGCTAAATCCTTCAAATACAATAGATCCCTGATATGGTTTGGATCTGTGACTTCACCAAATCTCAGGTTGAACTGTAGCACCCAATGCTGGAGGCAGGGCCTGGTGGGAGGTGGCTGGATCATGTGGGTGCTATTCCTGTGATACTGAGTTCTCACAAGACCTGGTTGTTTGAAAGTGTGCAACACCTCGCACCTCACTCTGTCTTGCTCCTGCCATGCAAGAAGCCTTCCTGCTCCCCCTCTACCTCCCTCCATGACTGTAAGTTTCCTGAGGCCTCCCCAGAAGCTGAGCAGATGCAGGCATCATGCTTCCTATACAGCTTCCAGAACTGTGAGCCAATTCAACCTCTTTTCTTCATACATCACCCAGCCTCAGGTATTTCTTTACGGACTAATACAAGCCCTCTGGAGTTCACATATTCTCAGTATATTCACTGTTTTAGGGGAGGAGGTGGAATGCTATAGGGAAGTATTTGTCCTGAATCATTCTGTGGATACACCACACAAACTCAGAATTCTTAATTATTTTGGGCCTTTTAGTGCTGACATGTTAAAAAGTTTACTTAAAAAAACAACTTTAGACCAGGCGCGGTGGCTCATGCCTGTAATCCCAACACTTCGGGAGGCTGAGGCAGACGGATCAGTTGAGGTCAGGAGTTCGAGATCAGCCTCGCCAACATGGTGAAACCCCGTCTCTACTAAAAATACAAAAATTAGCCAGGCATGGTGGCAGGTGCCTGCAACTTCAGCTACTCAGGAGGCTGAGGCAGGAGAATTGCTTGAACCTGGGAGGCGAAGGTTTCAGTGAGCCGAAATTGTGCCATTGCGGTCCAGCCTGGGGGATAGAGGAAGACTCAGTCTCAAAAAAAAAACAAAACCAAACCAAAAAAACCCAACTTTACTACCAGGCAGATTCTTTTCTTTCGCTTTAGATAATCGCTATCAAAACTTTGTCATCTCACTAGAATGTTAATGCTTTTACTTAACATGCAAGGTAGATTTTAGTCCCTCCCTTTTGCCTTCTGTCTTTTGAGAGATATAATTCCTGAGTGTGTTCGTGTTGGCTGATGCTATTTCATAAGACATAATATTAATACTGCACCTGAAATACCTCACACCCTGCCACCCTTCCCCCCGCAGCAAACTTGAGTTTCCAACAAGAGTAAAAAGGAGATAATGTTTTTATTTCCACCAAGGACAACTTTCAAAGAGATTAAGTTCTGAACACCCCTGGCAAGATGAGCTAGCTGCACTATGATGGAACTACAACATAAGCTATAGAGTACTGAGTGAGCTTGCTAACAGGAACACATCTTTACTAAGACAACAATGAGGGAGGACACCATCTGAGGGCGGTCACCAGTCTGCAGCTTGCATTTCCTCTGAAACCACCTAACTGTTGAAATGTGCCAAACACTGCTCTAAGCACTTTCCAAAGAGCAACACATTTAATCCTCCTAACATACCTCTTTACTGTAGGTGCTGTCAGTTTTCATACTTTGTATGGTAAGGACAGTGAAGCACAGAGGTTAAGTGACTTGAGCTAGTGACCTCGCAAGGAAACAACAAGTCCTGGAATTCATATGAAGCAGTGTGACTCTGGGGCTCTCACCCAGGCCTCCCCTCTACACAGCTGTTGAGGAGAACGGCAAAAGCCAGGACCTTCCGGGGCAAGTGTTTAGCTGCCTTGATTTTCTCTTCTCATACGTTTTTCCAATAAATTGGACGAATCTGATCTGCAGTAGCAAGCCTTGAGGGTCCCGCGAAATTGGCCTTGGCTTGGGGTGCGGAGGAGGAACCTCCATTTTCCTGAAACAGTATTGGATGAAGCAAGCCGTATCTTTTGGAAAAATCGAAGCCCTAGTGCAGGACCTGTGTGCGGCAAGGCATTGCTTTCTGCAGAATCACACAAACTTTCCTGCATGAAGTTCAGAAGCCTTGACATAGAGCTTCTCTAACCACACACCAGCTAAGGGGCCGAGGCTGAGGCTGAGTCACCCTGCAAGTTCCCTGACAGGAGTTTAACTTCACATTTCAACTGGTTTTCCAGTAGAGACTCAAGATATTTGTTGAATTGAAAGGGATGCCTGCTTTTACATACTATTTGCTGTTAGCTCTTTTAACAGATTAGCAATAACTAGTTTAACATCCCAGGGATGAGTAATTAACATATAATAACTTGTGTGTTGTGGCTTGTTTATCAATATTTTTGTTTATGGTCCTTTGGGATTTTTTTGAATATTTTTCTCTACTTATTTATTTTGAGACTAGGTCATTAAGACTGGCTAATTTTCGTATTTTTGGTAGAGACAGGGTTTCTCCATGTTGCCCAGGCTGGTCTCAAACTCCTGGGCTCAGGTAATCCAAAGTGCTAGGATTACAAGCATAAGCCACCTTGCCCAGCCTTGGCCAAAGAATCGTGTACTCCTTATAAATTTTACTTTAAAATCAAGTGTAATGCTCCCCACATCATCCCCCTACCTCTAGAGAGAAAAAAAAAGTCAAGAAATAAATCGTAGTAAAATTTGAGTCCTTCAATTTGTCATGATTTATTCTGTAAGGTAATATATGCAATAAAATTCAAAACTGAAAATTTCACTTGATTCCTTAGAATTTGGACGAAATCCTGAAAGAAAATGAACCTTTTCTCTGGAAATTTAGTGTCAATGTCATCATGCAGTGATATAAAAAGATATACCACACAGTGTTAAGAAAAACAGGTAAATTAGATACAAGTCTCTGCTATATACTGAAAGCCATGGGAACAGGGCGCCACCGCCTAGAGAGTGAGAAATGAAGATGGGTCCCAGCAGAAGTAACAAAAAGCAAGTGCTTGCCAGAGAGAGGGGGCTGGGAGGGAGAGGAGAATGGAGAAAGGGAGTGTGGGAATGTGAGAAAGGGCAGTTGTAGCAAGCACAGAGGAAGAACAATCAGGTAGGGGTGGGGGTGAGGTACTGGAGTTAGGAGCAGAGAACAGGAGTTGAAGGGAGCCTTCACCAGGATGGGGGCCTTGCCAGGCCCTGGAAATGACCACCTTCAAGGAACATATAGTTGAGAATTTAGAGAGCATGTAGACTGGTGGCTCTATTTTACAGTTAAACTAGAGAGCCTACCTTTCTGACTTGGCTGTTTTGATGTTTTAATATGTGATTTCATTTTCATAATGTAATCAATCTATTTTATATTTTCCAAATCATGTTTTCCATCACAATTTAAAGTAAATTTAAGAAAGATGTGAGTCTGTTAGATGGGGGAAGTAAATAATTATCCATTATTTAAACTTGTATTAAAAATAAGCCCCTAAACTGGCCAGGTGCAGTGGCTCACACCTATAATCCCAGTACTTTGGGAGGCCGAGGAGGGTGGATTCCTTAAGGTCAGGAGTTCAAGGCCAGCTTGGCCAACATCCTCAAATCCCGTCTCTACTAAAAATACAAAAATTAGCTGGGTGTGGTGGCACGCACCTGTAATTCCAGCTACTGGGGAGGCTGAGACAGGAGAATCACTTGAATACAGGAGGCGGAGGTTGCCGTGAGCCGAGATCATGCCACTGCACTCCAGCCTGGACAACAGAGTGAGACCCTGTCTCAAAAAATCAAGGAAAAAAAACCCTAAATATAATCTTTAATATATTGATTCAGAAATTTAAAGAAAATTGGCCAGGCACAGTGGCTCAGGCCTGTAATCCCAGCACTTTGGGTGGCTGAGGCAGGTGGATCACTTGAGATCAGGAGTTTGAGATCAGCCTGGCCAACATGGTGAAACCCTGTCTCTATTAAAAATACAAAAATTAGCCAGGTGTGGTGGTGCATGACTGCAGTCCCAGTTACTTGGGAGGCTGAGGCAGGAGAGTCACTTGAACCCACGAGGAGGTGGTTGCAGTGAGCCAAGATTGTGCCACTGCACTCCAGCCTGGCAACAGAGCAAGACTCATCTCAAAATAAAAATAAAAATAGAAAATAAAAATTAACCTAAAACCAGTTAACATATACTGTCAGGTAAAAAAAAAAGATTAAAAGTTTCCCAAGGGGGGTTGGAAAAATTTGGGAGGGGCACCTTCTATGAGAGGGGAACAAGCAAAGACTCCCCGACTCCCCCACTAGTAGGGCTATCCAGCCTCAAGGGATCCATGGCCACCAGATCTACCTTCTGTCACATCCCTGCACGCCTTGGCATTCCTTAATGTCTCAAAGGTGATTTGTACATACCAAGTTATATCCATACCCATTCAGAGGCAATTACCTCTGTAATATCATTCATGTCAGAGGTCATTGTGATTCTCATACACAATTATACCAAGGCAAACAGTGGTCAATGTTGGACAGAAGCAAAGGGGACTTGTGCTGAAATGAATAGATTCACAAGTCCCACACTTGTGGGAAGGGAAAAAGGAAGGGAAAAAGGAAGGGAAGTAAACACCATTTTTAAATATAGAAATGTTCTAGTTTTCGGCAATTTTCAGAGTAGTGTGACACAGGGAGAGGAGCAATGTCTCTTGAGGACTTCCCAATATTTTAATATAACATCGTGCTTGTCAAAACACCTGATAAATACATAGGCCAAAATGGATCTCTAATGAAATATATGTGACTTTATCTTACATGATAGGATTAAGGGCATGCTCATTAAGCAAGACCAAAACTGAATGCATCTATCTGCTAAAACCTAGTAAGATAAAACTAGACTCAAAGTATCCTGGACAATTGAAACATCATCTGTCAAATTAAATAAAAGGCAAGTTAGTGTAATTTTAATTTGTCCTTGAGTGCACTGAGAAAAGTAGAATAAAAGCTAGGTAAATAAAAGCTAGAAACGGATCTTATAGTGATAGTGGTACATCAGCTCAAAGAGACAACAAGCCTAACTTTTTTCTTATTTTTTTTAGAGATTGAATCCCACTCAGTCGCCCAGGCTAGAGTGCAGTGGCACCATCTTGGCTCACTGCAACCTCCGTCTCCTAGGCTCAAGCCATTCTCCTGCCTCAGCCTCCCGAGTAGCTGGGATTACAGGTGCCTGTCACCATGTCCAGCTAATTTTTGCATATTTTTAGTAGACACGGGGTTTGACCATGTTGGCCAGGCTGGTCTTGAACTCCTGACCTCAGGCGATCTGCCCACCTCGGCCTCCCAAAGTGCTGGGACTACAGGCGTGAGCCATCATGCTCGGCCCAAGACCTGAATTGAGACACAGGATCTAGAGATTTGCTGGGGAAGATTTAGCCTGATTACTGATTATCAATTATTGCTATAGAACACCTAAAAGTTTACACAAAAAAACTGGGCTGAGATATGTTAATAATAAATGTTGAAATAACGAAAACACTGTCAGATGGTCACATACACATATGCACATCAAAAAGCAATAAACAGGCTGGGCGCAGTGACCCACACCTGTAATCCCAACACTCTAGGAGGTCAAGGCAGATGGATGATCTGAGGTCAGGAGTTCCAGACCAGCCTGGCCAACATGGTGAAACCCCACAACAAAGTGAGATTCTGTCTCAAAAAACAAACAACAAAAAACCCACCAAATACTGTGACTTTCCAAGGAAAGTTGGGAAGCAAGAACTCAACTTTGACAAGAGGATGATTAACGGATTATTTTGAGCGCTCAAATTTGACTAAAGAATTTTGTACTTGAGGGTCTTAAATGTTACATCCTCCTAGGATCTTTGCATTTTAAAATGTCATTGTGTATAAACTTCTTAGGGGAAGTGAATCTTCTACCTCAAACTTGGAGTTTCACCGTGATGTTAATAATGGAGACAGGGAAGGAGGCACAAAGAAAAGACCGTAATTGGGAGATAGGGGACATGATAAGAGTAAAGGGCAAGCTCCTTGCATGACTGAATTAAAATGTTCTAATTTCAAATATATATTTCACATTCAATATAATTTTTACTATAGTCTATGGGCACTTCTTTTTGCCAGAAGGTTATAAATAATATGGTAGACTACTAAACATACAGTTGTACATCCATCTGATCCCTTCCCACGAAAAAGTGGATAAACTTGCAAGATAAACTCATGACACCATGAGCAATGGGAAGCTGGAAACATGAGAGATGAAGTGAGTGACAGTGATTCTGTGCACTGCAAGGAAGCAGACAGTAATGATGAGTGCAGTGGAGGAGCCCCCAGAAAGCCAGCCACTTTAGGGCACAGAGCTTGGGGAGGCCTCAGTAAGTGGGGGTGCAACATGGGGCTGAAAAATAGAGCATTAGCCCAAAGTTTCTAAGAGGAGTTAGATCCTTAACCCAGTTCAACCAGGTAACTGTTCTCATCCACTGAAAACAGGCGGGAGATTGTCAAAGTCCGCGCACTGAATCATGAGCCCATATCCCCACCCACACAACCCTACCATCCTCTTCTCCACTTGGCTTTTAGGACGCTGGCAGCCAAGCTTGCATCTCTAGACAGGAAATCTCAAGATTTTTCTCTGGAACAAAAAAAAAAATGTTTTTTTTTCCTCTGGGAAAACTCAACTCAGAAAAAAGACCCATATGCTGGCTGGCTGCCTTATTATTCTACGGAGAGGACTACAGGCTAGCAAGCCTGGCCCATACTGTAACAGAGAGCTTCAAGTCATTTTTTAAAACATCTCTTTCTCTCTTAAAAATATAAATCAAGGCTGGGTGCAGTGGCTCAAGCCTGTAATCCCAGCACTTTGGGAGGCCGAGGTGGGCGGATCACCTGAGGTCAGGAGCTCGAGACCAGACTGACCAACGTGGAGAAACCTCATGTCTTCTAAAAATACAAAATTAGCTGTGCATGGTGGCGCATGCCTCTAATCCCAGCTACTCAGGAGGCTGAGGCAAGAGAATCGCTTGAACCTGGGAAGCGGAGGTTGCGGTGAGCTGAGATTGCGCCATTGCACTCCAGCCTGGGCAACAAGAGCGAAACCCCATCTCAATAAAGAAAAAAAAATCAAGACATCTGAAGAACCTCTAACAAGAAAGAGAAAATAGGAAACAGACAAAGATTTTTAAAAATTATAGTACAGGCCAAGTGTAGTGGCTCACGCCTGTAATTCCAGCACTTTGGAAGGCTGACGTGGGAGGATTGCTTAAGCTCAGGTGGTGAGACCAGCCTGCCTGGGCAACAAAGTGAGATGCTGTCTCTACAAAAAGTAAAAAACTTAGCCAGGTGTACTGGCATGCACCTGTGGTCCAGCTACTTGGGAGGATCCCTTGAGCCCAGTGGTTGGAGGCTGCAGTGAGCCATCATCACATCACTGCACTCCAGCCTGGGTAAGGGCATGAAACTGAAACAAAAACAAAAACAAAAAATACGTTATAATGTATTCAAAAAGCAAGAGAAACGATTATAGCCATCAACTAGGCTCTGATTATTCTTTAAAAGTCAGTACATTCAGAGAAAAAAAAAGCTCTTCAAAATATCAAGAAAAAAAATAAGTAAATAAAAGGCTAGAAGGCTGGGCACTGTGGCTTGTGGCACATGCCTATAATCCTGGTACTTTAGAAGACCGAAGTGGAAGGATTGCTTGAGTCCAGCAGTTTGAGACCACTCTGGGCAACACAGTGAGACCTTGTTTCTGCAAAAAATATAAATATTAGCTGGGCATGGTGGCACACACCTTTAGTCCCAGGTACCAGGGAGCCCCAGAGTTCGAGAATGCAGTAAGCTGTGATCGCACCACTGCATTCCAGCCTGAGTGACAACAAAACAAAACAAAACAAAACAAAACCAAAACAAAACCCACATACAAAAAAGATTAGATGATAAAGCTGAAGAAAGCATAGAGAAATCAGAACAAAAAGATAATGAGATAAAACATAAAACAGAGGAGAAAAGATAAAAACAGCGGATCAATCCAGGAGGTAAAATGCCTTATATTAACAGGAATTATAAAGAGAGCAGAGAAAATAGAGGGAAGGAAATTTTCAAAGAACTACCACATGACAAATTGCCTGAACTGAAAGACATCAGCGTACATAAGATCTCATAGAGTAGCCAACACAACCATGAAATGACCTAGTCAAGACCTATCATTTTGACATCTCAAGACCCTAGGGAAAAGGAGAAGATCCTCAAACTTTCCAGAAGAAAAACAGAACATGCATCAAGGGATGAAAAATTAGAATGGCAGTCTTCTCAACTGCAGCACTGGAAGCTAGTGGACAAACCAGGAAGAACGACTGCAAGACAGTGAGAGAAAAATCACTTCCAATCTAGAATTCCACACCTAGCCAACTCTCAATTAAGCATGAGGCTAGGATAAAGTCATGCTCAGATATATAGGATCTCAACATTTTTACACTCCCACACACCCTTTCTCACAAAACTACTAAAGGATGATGCACGCCCTTAAATGAAGGCTCACTTTAAGAATGAGGAAGAAATGGGATTCAGGAAACAGAACATTCAATAGAGGAGAGAAAGAAATGAAGATGATGATGTTGATGATCTGCCCCAGGATAAGTTATGAAACAGATCCAAAGAATAAATATCCTAACTGGAAAGTGTGCGTTAGAAAAGATGTGGCCCAAGAAACTTGAAATATAATAATATGCTTCATAAGCATTATACATTTCAAAAAATGAAAAACGATTTTAGAAGTCTATACAAATCTTCCAAATTACCTATTTCATTTTCTGTCCATCACATGGGCATAGGCACTTTAATTTGGAGGAATAATCATGTGACATGTAAGAACAAAAACATGCAAGAAAAGGAACCAAATGAAATAAAAATCCCAAGCTGGTAAGAGATTTCTCATACTCACCATCTCTCTGGCTATTTCCAGCGCTTCCTGCAGGCCATAGAGCCTGCCACAAACCAGGTAGATTCCATTGGCCCAGAGAATACAACCCTCATGGACCCAAAATTCATTGCTGTCAAGAGGTAGTTCAGGGATTTGTAACTCCAGCTCAGGGCCACCTTCTGAAGTGGTGGGCACGGAGGGCTTCGAGTCCAAAACAGTCTTTTCACTGCTGCCCTCAGTGGCTGCTTTTTTACAAGGGAGCCCCCTGGACAGGGACCGAGGGCCTCCACCACAGTCTTCCGAGCGGTGGCGCCGCTTAAACCTGGGGTGTGCGGCCAGGCTTCTCTGCTCCTTCTGCTGCTGCTGCTGCTCTTCCTCCTCCTCAGTGTCCGTCTTGGAGCCATTAGAAGCACTTTTGTGCCGTACCTTAACTTTGCTCTGCATTTCTGTGGCCCTCTTAGGAGGTGGATTCTTCGGGAGAGTGGCTGCATAATCTTGGGGATAAAAAGGTCCAAAGAGGTCACCCATGTTCCGGTAACTGGCCCACTTGCCACACAGACAGCAAACCAGGTGCCCCATAACCGAAGACTCTGTCACAACAGGTCCCTGCAGCATAAAGGACGAGGCCGGGAGCGCCTTGCTTTCAGTGCTGCTAGGTGGAGGGGTCAGTGACCTCTGACCCTTCCTGCCCCTCACTAATTTGGTCTGTTCTTCTTCCTCAGCATTGATGATTGTACAAACGGCTCCAAGTTCACACTTATTTACTACATGGATGTAAGGGTAAAAAGACTTGTTCTTGGCATCAGTTTTATCCAGTGGCTGGGTGGCATATTTTAGTTTGATCTCAGGTTCTTGGGGTTCCACAATGGGAACTGCTTGTTTGGTTTTTCGCTTCCTCGGCTGGGCCCCAGGCTTCCTTCTCTCCCTCCTTTGCCTCTGTTTTTTTGGCTTTGGCTCTCCATCTGCAGAACCTTCTGGTATCTGTGGGGGCTGAGGGGGTGGAGGCGGTGGCTGCTGCTGTTTCTTTTGCTTATTCACACTACCAATGGGTCTCCCCTTCTTCTTTCCTGATGGGAAATATCCCTTTGGAGGGAAACCCTCTTGCTTCGGTGAAATCGTCACTGTATCGTTCTCCTTCTCTTCAGCCTTGGGGTTTGCCTCAGGGGCCAATATGCCCACTGGAGGTACATTCTTTGAGTCTGGAAAGATTAAAGGTGCTGTTCCACCCAGGGAACCATCTGGTCTCCCTTGGTTACTACCAGGCTTCTGTGAGGTTGTGGATGTCATGGCACCAGGGGGTTCCTTTCCGGCAGTAACTGTTTCTGCATGTGTCTCTGTCTTCACTTTGTCATCCACGCTGCCACGCCACTCTTCTGAAGACCTTGGAAGAGGTTTCTCTACGTGCAACTCCTGGTTTGCTGGACTGACTAGGTCCGAAGCCACCTCACCTTTTCTCTTCTCTATGTCAGCATCCTGAACAGCAACACTCCCACCTTCAGGAGGACCACTCTTCAAAGACAGTATATCATCAAGCGTAACCGTGTCTCCCCCAGCCTCCGCACTGTTCGAAGATGCGCTCCTCCTAATATTTGGGGATGTAATCTTCTGAACTATAGCTTCCAATTTCAATCCCCGTCCTTTCCGTGGGGGCAGTATTTTGGTCTTAGCAGGGCTTGTGAGGGTAACAGCAGGGCAGTTTCTACTATCTGGACTTGGAAGGTCCTTGGAGGAATCTCTCTTAGGGATAGACTTGATATCCTGACTGTGAGAAAGATGGGCATAGGAATTGAATGCTTTATCAGCGCCTTCTTTTGATGAGTGAAGGAGGCGACCTTTATCTTCAGTGCTACTGTTCTTTACATCTTGTGACTGTCTCTTACTGGGAATGGGAGAGATAAAAGAACGAACACGCCTCCTCATGATTAAGGGGTTTTGAGAAGAATGATCCTCCTGGCCTGGAAGTCTCAGCATAACACTACCAGGTTTGGATGACTGTGTAGCCTCAGCTAGTCCATGTCCATCAGTCTCATGGGGCGGCCCATACCTTTTTTGACTGGACATTCCTGGAGGACCGCTGCTTTTGGCTGGAGAAGTTTGCCGAGAAAGATCCCAACAGGATTCTTGTAACTTCTGGGAGCCATGCTTTAATTCCATGCCCTTGTTAGGCAGACCATCACTAGACATTAGGCAGCGCCCAGCCTCCTGGGCACTGGGGTCATGGTAAGTCCCCACTGGTGGGCCATACATCATACCATCTTTGTCATTTTTCAGAGGGCTCCGTACTCTGTCAAGAAACTGCTGCTGCCTTGGACTCTTCCGTGGCCCCTCCTGCCTGTGCTGTGCTGCAGCAATTACTCCCTGAGCAGAACCGCTGCTCCAGTCTTTATACTCCTCTGGTTGCTGTTGGTACATCTGTCTCTTATAATGCAGCTGAGAATTCAAACCTGCGTTAGGGTCCCCATAAGCATGAGCCCGAGTATTTGCATGATAAGCAGAGGCCAGGGTTTCTGAGTTGGGAGAAAAGGGAGTGTGTAAAGAACTCCGGTTAGCCCTCTCTGAAAAGGTCATGTGTGGATTCATGTGATGAGGGTCTCCCCCTGGGCCTCTGCTCCGCCCAGGAGACATTTTCAATTTTTCTGCAAAGTCATGATATTGAGAAGGGGACCGACCCCTCATGCCCTCCCGACCACCAACTCTGCCAGGGACCCGCCGCATTGGCGTGGGTCTGCTGTCTTGCGGGCCATAGTCTGAAAGGGAATCATGGGTTGCTGCTCCAGGGCTGGCATTGCCGCGGTAAGACTCATGCTTGATGCTAGGAGGATGGCAGTGGTCTCCAGATTTCTTGTTGTTGAAACTAGCTTGAGATTTAGACTGTTCAAAGTCTTCCTCTTTTATCTGCCCGCTCTGGGATTTCAGCTTGGTTTCCATGGACACCAAACCACCAGGAAGAATGACCGACTGACTTAAAGTTGGATTGAGACGGTCATTCCTCCCAATTCTGGTGTCGGCACTCATGTGTCCCAGTGAGTGAGCCCCTGGGTCCCTGACAATCTGTCTTAGTGGAGAAATATCACAGATCACTGATCTTCTTTCAGAGAGGGAACCCCCAGGCTCATGTGCTGATGACTGAGGCTCTATTTCAAACTTTCTGGGAATTGGATAGTCAGTCAAATTGATCTGTTTCATTTCAGGAGCTGTGCTGCTTGATTTCCTTTCCCAGGGGCCCCAGTGGGGATTTTCTAATAGAGACCCAATGCTTTTGTTCAGAAGGCCCCTGCTAGCTAATTCATTGGTTTGACTAACCAAGACATTGGGCCTTGTGGTTCCTTCTAGGCTACCAGCCATCCCCTGATGCTCTTGAGTACTCCTAGAATATCTCCTGTCAGGGTGGTGGTGGTAACCCTGAAGCACTTCCTGCAGGAGGCTTGGGAATTTTTCATTTCTACCCTTTCGTTCCCCATGGCCAGTGAAATCTCCCTTTTCTTGCCCTGTAGGATACTGAGGAAAGCCACTGACATTTCGTGGCACGGCTGACCCGAAACTATCTTTGTAACTATAGCGCAGACTTCCAGGAGATTTGCTAGGCTCAGTTCTGCTCGTAAAACCAGGGCCCGCTGCAGAGTGGCCACTCTGGCCATTTCCTTCTCCATTATGGTTGGAGTTGTTATCGCCATTCTTGTTTCCTTTGCTCCCTCCTCCTCCTGGAGGCTCTGGCTGGGGAAGTGATGCATGACTGGTTTCCTTTGCCCCACCATTGCTAGGTGGCCTTTGAGTGGCTGCAGGATCATCCTCTTGGGAGCCTTTATCTTGTCCACCAGGCTTTTCTACCCGACCTGTCATGGCTTCCCGGGAGACAATCACCCCAACAGTCTTCTCATTAACCTTTGGGTTCCCGTCGGATGACAATGGCATGTCCTTAGCGCCTGGTGAGGTGGCCTCTTCTCTTGCGGCAGGACTAGCATTGAGTCTGGGGGGTTCATTCTGAGCACCTTGTGCCGGTGAGGAGCCAGCTTTCTCAGAGGCTCCACCCTTGTAGGTGGTGTCAGAGCTGGTGCTCTGGCCACTTAGTTGCCGCACTCTCTCGCCTTGATCCTCTGAACTGCTGGAGCAGCCTCCATCTAATGACTCTGCCATAGGGGACTTCAGCTGTTCTTCAGGTTGTGAGGAGCCTTCAGAATTTGTGCAGCTATCTGCTTTCTTGGAAGATGAGGGCCTCTTGGAGGTCTTCTTCTGAGGAGTCAGGGCATCAGAAAGTAACATGTGCTGGACAGTGTTAGGAAGATTGGCCACTTGAGTACTCAGAGCACTCAAACTACTCAACCCAGGATCTGTCAGTCGCTTTTCTGGTACCCCTTCTAGTCCAAACCCTTTGAAGCCTGCAGCATGAGAATTAGGACTGGGCATCATTGATGGGGTTGGACTGAGTTGAGGCATTAACTGTAAAATTCTGTTTCTGGAACCCATAGGCACACTGCCTTGCCCACACTGGAGATTCTCCCCAGTCTGCATGAGAGGAGATGGGGTAGAACTACAGCTTGGAGACTGAACCACAGAGGCAGCTGGAGAAGGGTTAGAAATGGGGCTGAAGTTCTGGTGAAACTGCATGGGGGACCTCACAGGAACCTCAGGCTGGTTGTACTGCCCCACTTGGCTTTGCAGGGGCAGCTTGGTGGCAGCGTTAGTATACTGCATCACATGCTGAGAAGGGTGTTGTTGTTGCTGCGGTTGCTGCTGCTGCTGCCCCTGTTGGGTCCCTTGTGGAATCTTTGCCTGTTCAAAATTCTTCATAGATTGAGGCTGATAGCTGTAATTGGATTGTGTTCCATAAGCCTGTGCATTAGAACCCACATTGTGTCCTTCATACTGAGATCCAGCATTCACATTGTAACTGCCATCATAGCTCTGTCCAGACTGGCTAAAACGCTGTGGTGAAGGGAAGGAGGAGGAGGAGGAGGAGGAAGCAGAAGACTGATAGTGTTGGCCAAACTGACCCACTCTTAACTGGTAACCAGCAGCAGAGGATGGCAGAGTTGAGGGCCGCTGCATTGGCTGTAGATGGGATGAGCTGGATGCTGGTTGGCCAGTGGCCTGTGGCAGGGGCTGATGGGACTGGTAAAGCTGTTGTCTCAACTGCTGGACTTGCTGCTGCTGCTGCTGGCTGGAAGCCTGCTGTTGGTACTGAGCACTCCCTGGAGAGAAAGGCCCAGTGTAATCCTGCTGATAATGTGACACACCGCCAAGGCCAGAGTGCTGTGCTTGAAACTGGCCCACATGACCCTCACTCCCATACTGATTGCCAAAGCTGCTCCCCTGGGGGGGTCCATAGCTCTGCACAGGCCCAGAAGGCCTTCGCTGAGGAGGCTGTGGGGTTCCTGTAGTCACGGGGTCTTTGTTGCCTGCCATGTAGTAAAAATCTCCAGCCTCTTTCCTGAAACCCTGGTAACCTTGATGGCCAGAGGTCTCGCTAGCCATCGCTGCCGCAGCAGCTGCTGCTCCTCGTCGTCCACCACCACTGCCACTGCCACTGCTGCCACTACTGCCACCTGTACCTCCAAAATTCTGGAACATCTGGGCCTGACGAGGGCTGAACTCTTCTAGCCGGGATGAGCCGTGTACCTCCTGTGGGTAGCTTTGCTGGTTTCCGTGGTAACTGCTTTGCTCCCGAAAGGACTGCATACTGTTCAGCAGCACAGCAGCAGGCCAACAGCCCTCCTAGAAATAGAAGAAAGAAAAACATTAGACACGCATCTCCTTGGTACAAATAAAATCAAGTCTAGATGATGGAGGGAATAAAGATGAATCAGAGGCCCAGATGAAGCTGACTGGTTTGAATTTCTATTTTTTTTTTTTGGTTTTTTGAGACAAGAGTCTCACTCTGTCACCCAGGCTGGAGTGCAATTGCACGATCTCAGCTCAATGCAACTTCTGCCTGCAGGGTTCAAGCAATTCTCTTGCCTCAGCCTCCCGAGTAGCTGGGACTACAGGCGCATGGCCACCAGGCTCGGCTAATTTTTTGTATTTTTAGTAGAGACAGGGTTTCACTGTGCTGGCCAGGCTGGTCTCGAACTCCTGACCTCGTGATCCGCCCACCTCGGCCTCCCAAAGTGCTGGAATTACAGGCATGAGCCACCACGCCTGACCTTGAATTTCATCTTTTATATTTTATCCTATCCACTTCTGAAAATGCACATATGCAGAGAAATGGCCTAAAGAGTGAGGCAAGAATCTGTAGTAGAATGAAAAGCAGCACTCTGAGTGCATACAAACCCAATACAGCAAAAACATGTATGTCTCATATATCTAATAATGCCTTATTAGACAAATGAGCCCCCAAACTCAACCAGATTAAAATATGGGGCTGTGTTATTACTGTCAATGAAAAACAGCAATTTTTCAATAAGCCTCCCAGTTATGCGGGGGAGGGGGTGTGGGGTAAGAAAAACCAAATCCTTTTTTTTTTTTTTTTTTTTTTTTTTTTGAGACAAGGTCTCACTCTTGCCCAGGCTGGAGTGTGCAGGGGCACAGTCGTAGTTCACTGCAGCATCAAACACCTGGCTTCAAATGATCCTCCTGCCTCGGCCTCTCAAAGTTTTGGGACTACAGGCATAAGCCACTACTTTCATTTCTCTGCTTTCATGTATTAGGGTGATCACTGAACTGCGGGTTTTAACACTGGCTGCTGATCGCCACTCCCCAACACTGAGAAACAGACCTGGCCAGAGAACTGCAGCCAATTCCTTATGTCCAAGTGCAAATTTTTGCAGCTTTACTATAATTGCCAACTACCTGTGATGACTGGTGACTCCAGGACACTCAGCCCATATGGGTTCCACACAAACTTTGGAGTCAACCTCTTCTTGGCATATGACTGTGTCTACAGCACCCCTCTCTCCACCACTCTCCTTCAATTCCCAGGTACAAAGGGCTAGACTTAAGCCAGTGAATAGCAGTGACTATTCTTCCAGATTATTTTGGGAGGTTTCCAAGAAGTTCCAGCACCTTTACCCGCCATGTGGTATTTGTATTTGCCAGTTTTTTAAATTCACAGTTATTACTGGCCATTACTATGAAAGAATTAGAAGCAATCATCTTGGAGGACAGCAAAAAACAGAGAGGAAAATAGGAATTCATCAAGCCTAGGACCCAGACTCTTTCAAAGTTATCTGACTGAGCCACCACTTTGTATTACCTATTATAATCCCTCTTAATCAATCAAGCTGATTTTTTCCCCTTTCACCTGGGCCTGTCTCCTCAGAGTCAGAGATGAAAGGGACAAGGCCAAATTGCTCCAAGTGACTTTAGAACCAATTACTTAAAAAAACAAGTTCCAAAATACATATAGGGTAAAGTGAGGTGTAATAGACAGTTTAGTTTAGTTACAATGGTTTATGAAGCTAGTTTCCTAGTTCCCCTGAAGGGGAGCTGAAAATGGAGTTGCCTGCAGGAAAGTCAACAACCTTTTTAAAGGTAAGTCAGATTTATCCTCTCCAATCCCTGGAGTGGCTCCCACCTCATTCTTTGGGAAACTGGTCTCAAAGGCCCCTGCTCCCACCCCCTTGACCTCTCTGAGCTCCTCCCCTATCACTCTCTGCTCTAGCCCCACAGTTGCCTTGTTCCTGGAACAGGCCTACCACATATCTACATAGGAACTCTGTTCTCACCTGCACGTTCTTCTCCCAGAGCCAGATAGCTTGCTCTCCTTCCAGTCTTTGGGCAAGTGTCACTCATTCCCTGGTCATTCTAGTAAAAACAGCCAGCTCCACACCTTTTCCCTGGCTGTAACTCCCTCCCCTGTTTTATCCCCTGCCTGGCCCCATACTTACTCCAAACAGACACATATATGCTACTTGTTTACTGTCTGTCTCTCCTCTGACTAAAATGTAAACTCCTTAAAGGGCAGAAACTGACTGTTCCTTGCTGTAATCCTCACGTCATCACACCGGAGTCTGTGTGAATGATTAAATGGTGTAAGAACTAGGCCTTAGAGAACTAGGCTAGAACTCACATATTCAGAGATGGTGCTGTGGGAGTGACATGAGAGAATTATAGAAAGTGAAAATAGAATATGATCAACCTAAAAGCAGAGCTGGAGGATGCTGAAGACCTTGCCTGTAAAATCCCATGAGTCCGGTTCTAAGGGAAAGACCCAGCTTGAGTCCACATGAGAACTGAGGAAAGACTTCAGAAAGTAAATATTGATTAGAGCAGAAGATGGCCAGTAACCCCAAATTCTAAAAGCTTGACCCATATCTTGAAATATCGTAAGTCTAAAACAGCTAGACAAGGGTCTACTTCCTTAAGCTTGATTATATAGTCATGTGACCCAAAACAATCGCTAAACATTCATGTGCAAATAATGTCAGAATCTAAAGGAAACTTCTCATCCTATTCAAAATGCCTCTGTTGCTTTGTTCCAGTGAATCTGCAGGGCAGTAGGTAATAGCTATTCAAATGGTGATGATGCTGCTTGACACTGTTCCAGCACTTCACATACACTAACTCATTTAATCCTCACAACACTAGCACGCTCCTTTTACAGATGAGGAAACAGAAGCAGAGTTCACAAAGCTCCTAGGCAGCAGGGCTGGGGGCAGGACATGTTTTTAACATTACATTGCCCAGAGGGTCTTCCACATGGTCAGTAAAAAATACCAGTTGTCCTGTCAGTTTGGCCTTGAAAGTGGGTAGCCACCCACAATAAATCTGTCCCTTCACTGCCACCCTCTTATAAGGACCTCCATACTGTTCCAGCTGGCTCTTCACCCGCTCCCCATCATTCTTAGAACTATCAAGAGCAATTCTGTCTACATGAGTATTAATTTTTTCCCCTTGTGATGTGCTCCTGCTCTACTCCTCAGTGCCAGTGGCCTTCTCTAGATAAAACAAGGCTGAATGGGGGCTAAATTGAACAAAAACATTAAAGCTAGCAGTTTAAACTAATGAAAAGCCTTCTCAAGAGATATTCTCTATAAAAAGCTATGTTACATGTTGTTTAATTAATCCTTCTGGAAATAAAATCAGGCTTCTGAAGATCTGAGTGTATAAACAATGTTGCCACTTGCTCCATATTCTTCCTAAATAGGAGCCACCAAGAGCTAAAGGCCACTTTAAACATCAGGGTATCAGGCCTGAGGCTGCCCTATCTCCAGACAGGGAAAACAGATACAGGAAGGACTCCTTCTTAGGTCTGTTCTCAGCCTTCCCCTGCAGATTCCCTGTCCTGTATGATACCCCTTTCCCTATTGTTATGGTTCTACTTTATGAAAAAGAAAAAAAAAAAATCCAAGGCCAAATACCTCCTGCAGGGTTCCAGTCATGCTAAATATTCTTAGTATACATGAAGCACCTGAGTAGGAGAAGGTGGTTGCCCAGGTTTATCTTTTTTAGGAATGCCAAGTAAACCAATTAAGAAAACCAACTAGCATATACCAACGACAGAAAATGTAAACCTGGAGCTATAAAATAAGTAATAGGCTGGGTGTGGTGGCTCACACCTGTAATCCCAGTGTTTTGGGAGGCTGAGGTGTGAGGATCGCTTGAGGTCAGGAGTTCAAGACCAGCCTGGGTTAAAAAAAATTTTAAATGCACAGTGTCATGAGGTGTGCCTACAGTCCCAGCTGCTCAAGAGGCTGAGGTAGGACGATTGCTTGAACTCAGGAGTTCGAGGCTGCAACGAGCTATGAATGTGCCAATGTGCTCCACCCTGGGTGACAGTAACCCTGTCTCAAAAAAAAAAAAAAAAAAAAAAAAAAGCTAATAGAGATAATTCCAATTTTATCCCATCATCTTAAAAAAAGCATCAGTGTAGTCAGTTTTAAAGCACTGTGATTAGTAATAATAAGTGCCTGAATTCCTTTGTTTAAATGAATACAAATAGTAAGGAAAATCTGATACCTCAAAGGAATAAGTCACCTAAGGAACTTGCATACACACTCTAAAAAAGAGGCTGGGCACAGTGGCTCACCCCTGTAATCCCTGAACTTTGGGAGGTCAAGGCGGGCAGATCACTTGGGCTCAGGAGTTCGAGACCAGCCTGGGCAACATGGCGAAACCCTATCTTTATAAAAAATACAAAAATTAGCCAGGCATGGTGATGCGTGCCTGTAGTCCCAGCACCTCGGGGGGCTGAGGCAGGAGGATCGCCTGAGCCTCGGAGGCAGAGGTTGCAGTGAGCAGAGATCGCGCCACTGCCCTCCAGCCTGGGCAACAAAGCGAGATTCCGTCTCAATAAATAAATAAAAAAGAGGCCTACCGATGTACTTCCCATCCATAATGACTCTCCCTTTCCTGTTTTTCTCCTATATTCCTAACTTTCTGAACAGTTTCAGAAGGGCTGTGGAGGTGTATTAGTGAGGTCCAGAACTCTGTGCCTAAACATTCCAGAGTCCATGTGCCGACCTCACAAACTCACTCATAACCAGCTGCAGACTTGTTCTCCCCATCCTATTAGAGGGCTGATGACCTTGCCCTCTTATAGAAAACCAACATTGGCTTTCTCTGTCCTTCTTCCTCCATATGTCCAACAACATCCCACTTCCCAATCCATTCTCTTTTTTGGAAAGAGAGTCTCACTCTGTTGCCCAGGCTGGAGTGCAGTGGCATGACCACAGGCTCACTGCGGCCTCAACTCCCAGCTCAGGCAATCCTCCTGCCTCAGCCTCCCAAGTAGCTGGGACCACAGGCATGGGACCCCTGGCTAATTTTTAAAAAATAATTGGGACTATGGCTAATTTTTATAATTTCTTAAAAATAGAGACAGAGTCTCACTGTGCTGTCCAGGCTGGTCTCAAACTCCTGGGCTCAAGCCATCCTGCTGTTTCAACCTCCCAAAGTGCTAGAATTCAGCCATTGTGCCTGGCCCCAGCTAATTTTTTCATCCTCTGTCATGATTTTCTGCTTATTCTCCTTCTTTGCCTTTAAATCCTCAAGACATTGACAATGATGCATCTAGTTATAGCCTGTGTAAGGGATATTCCCTGTTTGCCCCCACAGCCTCTCCTCACCCATCTCCACCCTACTCTATGCCCTAGAACGGACAATGGAAGGACAACTGACAGGCCCCACCACCCTTGCCTTCTGACCCAGTTTGGCTGGTAAGAGGCAGGAGAGGAGGAAAGTGAGAGGAACTTACTCTCCTGGCTCCCACCCCGAGGTTACTGAGGCTGGCTGAGACCCTCCACCAATGGCTGCAGCTCCATCGGGCAACCTCAACATATAGCCACTTTCTCCAAACTCCAGGAACCACTTCATCCTCTGCCCTTCAGGTCTAGAAGGCA
This sequence comes from Homo sapiens, assembly GCF_000001405.40. Lineage (NCBI taxonomy): Eukaryota > Metazoa > Chordata > Mammalia > Primates > Hominidae > Homo > Homo sapiens. Next base: position 112,310 of record NW_015148968.1, read on the forward strand.
GTAGGTAACAACTCCCTGCTACTGCTAGCACAGAAGACTTCACTTTCCTGTTGGCTTCCCCAAACCCTGCTCACCCTTTCCAGTCCCTTTATTAATCTTCTGCATTGTTGTCAACTCAGCATCGTGACCACCCTCCTTCCAAGCTCTCCTCTGCAGATCAGAAGCTGAGAACTTCCGTTCCAGAACCCTTTAGCAGCATGGTTCTGGGTTAGAGTTTGCAATGAGAAGTGCAAGAGAGATTTAGAAGGCAAAATAAACGTAGAGGTTGATGATATTCCCTGGAGGTAGATGCAGCACACGTGGATTCATAGCGGCTTCCCCATGAGCTCACGAGAACCATTCACTATGACACTTCAGTATGAAATCATCAGGAACCTTCCCAATTCCAGTTCTTCCAGGGTTGGGTAAAGCCTTAATTCCTGTATCAAAACCATTCATACCGGAATAGACAACTTCTCTTTTCCTGAATGAACCCTGAATGATACAATTAAACACTCCTTAAATTACCCAGTTTGAATGTGCCATCTGTTTTCTACTGGGACCCTGACTGATAAGAGTTCTTCTCATTCCTAGGATTTCAGAGTAGACTATTGCCACTTGGGGAATGAGAGACTTCTATTTCATGCACTATGACATAGAACAGGGACTAAAAATCCTCCCTCAACAAAACACTTAGAAATGTCAGACAAAATGTATAGCCAAGTTGCAAGAAAGTAAGAAATGCCCAAAGTCCAAAATTGGATGAGATACTATGAAGAGAGTTGCAGGCAGGTGCTGGGCTCTGAATGCCAAGGATGTGGGGTCTATAGGGCTTATTAACCATATGGCAAAGGGTTTTTTTTTTTTTTTTTGAGACGGAGTCTCGTTCTGTTGCCCAGGCTGGAGTGCAGTGGCGATATCTCGGCTCACTGCAAGCTCCGCCTCCCGGGTTCACGTCATTCTCCTGCCTCAGCCTCCCAAGTAGCTGGGACTACAGGCGCCCACCACCGTGCCTGGCTGATTTTTTGTATTTTTAGTAGAGACAGGGTTTCACCGTGTTAGCCAGGATGGTCTCGATCTCCTGACCTCATGATCCGCCCGCCTCAGCCTCCCAAAGTGCTGGGATTACAGGCATGAGCCACCGCGCCCGGCCCCATATGGCAAAGGTTTTAATGACCATGCAGAGACAGAGCAAGGCCTCTGGCCCTCTAGACAGATCAGTACTTAAGGACTCTGGACAGTGTCACTTGTGACTGTAATCATTTCTAAAAGACAACAAATGCATTTATTATTAGGCAGTAACTAACTCATTTTCAATGACAAAGATAAGGTTGTTCTTCCTCAACTGACCCAACTGCCTATTCTCAAAGAAAACCATGATCATCCCAAGCAAGAAGCTTTAGAATAACCCCAAACTGACCTTTCACTTTGACTCTGTATTTACCATGCTACCTCATCATGACACTACTCTCCTTCCTGTATTTGTCCTTTCCCATTCCATTCTCGTCACTGTCATTTTCATCTTTCTTGGGCTAGAATAACACCTGAAAAGTTCTCTTTCCCAGTACTTTCTTTTGCTTAACTGCCATTTTGACACCATCACACCCCCCCATAGGCCCTGAAGCCCTGTGACATCTTCCCAACACAATTTCTGCTTCTCCCCACCCTCTCAAACAAGCCTGCTCAGCCCCCTTTGTGCCATCGGCCCACTCTCACCTTGGTCTCAACTTGGAGCCTTTTAAGCATCCCCAGGCCCATAAATTCCTTCTTGCCACATGAGATCATATGGTTCTTAAGAGCTCTTAGAATGTGTCCTGCTGTATCTTAAGAGCTCCTAAAATGTGTTATCCATGTGATTTTCTCTACAAATCTTCCTCTAAGCAGAGAATGTGTTGGCTTTACCTTGCTTAGTAAAAACAAACCAATTAAAGTATTTACCTTTAACCAGTATCTAAGGTATGTACCACTGATATAATAAAAATTGCTGGCCGGCCACAGTGGCTCACACCTGTAATCCCAGCACTTTGGGAGGCCGAGGCAGGCAGACTGTTTGAGCTCAGGAGACCAGCATGGGCAACATAACAAGACCCCGTCTCCACAAAAAATACAAAAGAATTAGCTGGGTGTGCTGGCTTGTGCCTGTAGTCCCAGCCACTCCAGAGGCTGAGGCAGGAGGATCACTTGAGCCTGGGAGGCAGAGGTTGCAGTGAGCCGAGGCTGCACGCTACTACACTCCAGCCTGGGTGCTACAGTAAGACCTGTCCCAGTAAATAAATAAATAATTGCCATTTATTTAGCAATCTATATATGTTAGTCACTGTGTGGTTTTACCTGTAACTCAATTAATGAATGAGGGGGAAAAATTAATGTAATTTTTTCCAAAAGTCCAAATTTTCCAAAAGTCACTCCTCTAGGACAAGTTGGAGCTGACATTCTGTAACTCCAATTCTTCTGATTCTAGAGCCCATAACCCTTTCTTTCACTGTACCACAAAATTAGGCAAGGAAGATCCAAATGCATATTTTTGAAAATCCTGACACACACTTGGGTCAGATCTCTAATAACTGTAGCTATCAATTATTGCCATGCCTCACACATGTGACACACTATCAGGTGCTTTACACAAATGTTAATGCATTTCATCCTTACCATGATCTAAGAAATGTTAGTAATCCTTTTTGTAAATGGAGACTCAGAAGTTAAACAAGCAAAATATTCATGGTAAACAATGAGATAAGATATATAATATGCCCACTGCAAAACCCAGTCTGTATTTCCCAATCTGTGACATTGGGAAGCATTTTAGAAAGGAATCTTGAGGAATCTTGCTAGAATTTAGTTGACTGCTTGTACCTAGATATATCTGTAACACCTGTATCGTTTGTTTTGTGTATGTGCAAATGTGGGATCTTCCTAAGTGTATCAAGCATAAAGATCTGCTCAGTGACTTAATATTTCATACTCTATGTCCTGTTTGCACATGGGCAGAGCCTATATTTTTCTCAGTGGCTAAAAGTTATCTTAGTGTAATAGGACTTCAGAATAAAATGAAGTGTAATGAAGGTGCTGGCTTCCTCCCTGACTTGGGAGATCAGAAGAGTCTGAAAGCAACTCAGAATTCGCAAGTCAGTTCCTTGTCTAGAAGGAAAGAAACCCACAAGAATGCTGCATATCTAAAAAGATTGCTTTCTGGGTGTCAAAACTCATATTAGCCATGTAAGCCATAAAAAATATCCACCTTGAATCATGACCAAATACATGCAGGCAAAAACTAGGGGGATAAATTTGTAACTATTACATTTCCTGGCCAGGCGCAGTGGCTCACGCCTGTAATACCAGCACTTTGGGAGGCCGAGGTGGGCGGATAACGAGGTCAGGAGATTGAGACCATCCTGGCTAACACAGTGAAACCCCGTCTCTACTAAAAATACAAAAAAATTAGTCGGGCGTGGTGGTAGGCACCTGTAGTCCCAGCTACTCAGGAGGCTGAGGCAGGAGAATGGCGTGAACCTGGGAGGCAGAGATTGCAGTGAGATCGCACCACTGCACTCCAGCCTGGGCAACAAGCGAGACTCTGTCTCAAAAAAAAAATTTCCTAAAAAATTTAAAAGATGATATCCCATCTGGTTAGGTTAGGCTAAAGCTGGTACAAAAAAAAAAAAAAAAAAAAAAAAAAAGCACCATAAATGATTATGACTCTTGGAAAAGAAAACTGGTAATAAAACAGTCAACCAAACAAAAAAACAAAATACCAACATATTCACTCCAGTAATATGTATTAGAAGAAAAAACTGGCAACAACCTATTTGAAAATTGATTAAACAAATTATGGTATATCCACTCAAAGAAATAGTACATAATCATTTTAAACAATTGCAAAGACTCTAGCACCATAGAAAATTACATAGTATCAGATGAAAAGAGCAGCTCACGTAAACTTATACCTGTGCTATGATTATAACTATCTGAAAATGAGGCATTCATTTAGTCCCAGGCCAAAGGGAATAATGGAGAAAAAAGGAAAACTTCTGGACTATCCAAGATGGCAGTGTTGTGGAAGTATTTTTTCCCCTTTTCATTTCTATTTACATTAATTTTTGTGTAGGAAATAATCACTTTTTTTTTTTTTTTTTGAGACAGAGTCTTACACTGCACTGCTGGAGTGCAGTGGTGCAATCTTGGCTCACTGTAGCCTCTGCCTCCCAGGTTCAAGCAATTCTCCTGCCTCAGCCTCCCAAGTAGCTGAGATTACAGGTGCCTGCCACCACGTCCGGCTAATTTTTGTATTTTTAGTAGAGACAGCATTTCGCCATGTTGGCCAGGCTGGTCTTGAACTCCTGACCTCAAGTGATCCACCTGTCTTGGCTTCCCAAAGTGCTGCGATTACAGGGTGAGCCACAGTGCTCAGCCAAAATGTCATTAACCTCATTTAAAAATTACAACCCTTAGGCCGGGCGCGGTGGCTCACACCTGTAATCCCAGCACTTTGGGAGGCCGAGGCGGGTGGATCATGAGGTCAGGAGATCGAGACCATCCTGGCTAACAAGGTGAAACCCCGTCTCTACTAAAAATACAAAAAATTAGCCGGGCGCGGTGGCGGGCGCCTGTAGTCCCAGCTACTCGGGAGGCTGAGGCAGGAGAATGGCGTGAACCCGGGAGGCGGAGCTTGCAGTGAGCCGAGATTGCGCCACTGCAGTCCGCAGTCCGGCCTGGGCGACAGAGCGAGACTCCGTCTCAAAAAAAAAAAAAAAAAAAAAATTACAACCCTTGAACTATCTCAACAGTATCAGAGCTTTATCTGTTCCTACTGACAGCAAAGTGCTGCTCTGCCCAAGGGAAAGAAATAGAGGCACAGGGGACCCCACAAGTCAGAAGCAGGAGGGAAGGGAGGAGCCTGCCAGACAGGACCTCTACTTCAGGAAACCTGGTGCCAATGCCACACACAGGGTTGTTGGACACCACAGTGCCCAGGCAAGTGTGCACACAGGGTCACTAGCTCAAAATTATTTTTTGAGAATCAGGCCTAAAGTCAGCTGAATTCCAACCCACAGTCGGCAGGCCTATTATTAGGCATAATTTCAAACAGCCAAGAGGCTGCAAGCATCCTATATCCACCACATGCTTCTGTAACTCTGCAAGGAGATGCTATAAATCTGCTCCTGAGCAGACCAAAGGCACCTGGGCCCTATCCTGGCCCCACCCCCACTCCATGGCTATCTGTCTTATTTTCACAGGGGCATCCCAAGATCACTTCAGATGACCACATATGTGAGCAGGATGGCCAAACAGTTCCCAAAAAGGGGGCAGGAGAAGGGTGGGAGCAGGACATCTCTGGGGCTAGCTAGAGGCTCCTGTGGGATTTTCTTAAATGCTGAGCGTAGGGGCTTCTGAGATGTCATTGAATATATTTTTTCATTCAAAGGTTGTATTAATACATAATTTCTAAACCTTCAGAGGCAAAAGGGAGGTAATTAGTGTTGCCACTTATAGGCTAAAAGGATGTTCCATTTTATAATTCATTCAAATATAATTTTGAGGCCGGGCCTGGTGGCTCAAGCCTGTAATCCCAGCACTTCGGAAGGCTGAGGCAGGCAGATCACACCTGAGGTCAGAAGTTCAAGACCAGCCTGGCCAACATGGTGAAATGCTGTCTCTACTAAAAATACAAAAACTGGCCACATACGGTGGCGGAAACCTATAATCCCAGCTACTCAGGAGGCTGTGGCAGGAGAATCGCTTGAACACAGGAGGTGGAGGTTGCAGTGAGCCAAGATCACGCCACTGAACTCCATCCAGCGTGGGTGACAGAGTGAGATTCTGTCTCTTAAAAAGAAATAATAATAAAACAAACAAATACAATTCTGAATTAAAATTCAAAAGATATCAATGACCAATCCAAAGCAGAAGTGGGCAAAAGCTATATGAAAATTAGAGACTTCACTGAACAACCCAAAAAAGCTCAAAACAAAAGGAAAGAAACAAACTAGCAGAACAAATGGTATAGCTAGATAAAAAGGGCTAGTATTGTAAAGACGTTAAGTCTCCACATATTAGTTTATAAAATTCTAATAGGTTCCAGTCAAAATCTCAATAGGATATTAAAAAATAATTTTTAAGACTGGGCGTGGTGGCTCACGCCTGTAATCCCAGCACTTTGAGAGGCCAAGGCAGGCAGAACACACGAGGCCAGGAGTTCAAGACCAGCCTGGCCATTACAGTGAAACCCCGTCTCTACTAAAAATACAAAAATTAGCTGGGCATGGTGGCACATGCCCGTAATCCTAGCTACTCGAGTGGCTGAGGCACAAGAATCACTTGAACTCTGGAGGCTGCAGTGAGCTAAGATCGTTCCATTGCACTCCAGCCTGGGAGACAGAGCAACAGCCTCTCTCAAAAAAAAATAGTAATTTTAAATTACTTCAAATGTACAGAAAAGTGCAAAAATAGTTCAAAGGGCTCACATACCCTCTTTCAACGAGATTCTCCAACTGATGCTTTACCTCATTTGCTCCATTATCTTTTCCTGACCCCTTTGAGAGCAGGCTGAAGGCATGAAGCTCCATTGTTGCTCAATACTCTAGTGCGTTATTTCCAAAAACAAGGACATTCTCCTCCATAACCAGCATACAAGCCTCCACATCAGGAAATCAACACTGATACTACACTCTCAATCCAATCCATAGACCCCATTTGAATTTTGTCAGCTGTCCCAACAATGTCTTTCCTTTCTAGTCCAGGAGTCTACCCCAGAGCTACATCTCACCAGTGTCAATCAATCTGGAATAGTTCCCTTTTCTCTTCCTGACTTCCATGTCCCTGCCAGAGTACAGTCTTTTCATTTTGCAGGATAACCCTCAATCTGATCTGTATTTCCTCGTGACCAGACTCAGGTCATGCTTCCTTAGCGGCAATACCAGACACATGGTGCTGTATTCTTCCCAGGACATTGCATAAGAAGAAGACTGATGGCAACCCATCCCACTACTGCTGATATTTACCACATTCACCTGGTCAAGCTTATTAGAGATGTAGTGTCTCAGGCCCCACAGACCTACAGGATCAGATTCTGCATGTTAACAAGGTCACTAGCAAGTCACACATATGTTACTGTTTGTGAAGTACCAGTGAAAGGTCTTATAAAAAGTAAGAGCCACATGGGGAAGTTCAGATTTTATTAGAAGCCTTTGGAGGGTTTTAAACTATAGAGTGGCATGATCTGGTTTCAGTTCTTAAATGGCTCCTCTGGCTGTTTTGTGGAAAACAGACCAGGGGAGGGGCAAGGACAGAGCAGGGAATTAGTTAGTTGGTAGTCTGGTTAAGGGACGTTGGCTGCATGGGTGAATGTGGTGTTGATGGAGGTAGTGACACACAGTCAAAACGGACACAGTCTGAAGTCAGAGCCAACAGAAATTGCTAACGGATCAGAAGTGGACATGAGAGTCATAACAACAATGATAAACAGCAGCAGCCAACACTAGTTAAACACAAGCCATGTGCCAGCCACTGCTCCATGTCTTTTCAGGTGAAAATTCATTCAACTGTCACAATAATCCCAAGAGGTACAAGTGACAACCCCACTTTATTCAAATGAAGACAACATGGTAGAGAGAGGTTGTGTAGCTGCCCAAGGCCTCAGATCTGAGCTTAGGCAGTGACTGGGGAGCTTGTACTCCATTCACCATCCCTTACAGAACAACTGCAAACACTGCACCATTTGTGAAGAGGAACGAGGCTGGTAAAGGGAATCAAGAGTGCTTTGCCAAACATGGCAACACGCGATTCCCATTGCACATCCACATGGAAACAGCAGGGAGACAGCCAATGCGACAGGATCTCCAAGGAAAGGTGGAGTAGAGATAAAAATGGGAAGGTCATTAGCACAGAGGTAGTATTTAAAGCCAACAGAGTAGATGAGATCACCCAGAGCAGTTTTTCAAACTGCAGGCTGTGAAATCAATTTAGTGGGTCATGAACAGCACTTAAAAAAAAATGAAATAGAGCAGAATGGAAAATAACAGAGTCCACGGCTCATGAAGTATAAGAACCGTTTTGTGAAACTTTTGTTTCTGTTGTGTCTGTGTGCACAAGACGGTGTAGTGTGTTTGTACTTGTCCGGCATTTGGTATGGCTGAACAAAAAGATTTAAAACCACTGGTCTAGAGGCTAACTTGGAGTGACTGATCCCTGCAATCACTCTATCATTTAGAAGGTGGAGAAGAGGAAAAGAAGCCAGAAAAGGAGAGTGAAGAAGTAGGAAGGAGGAAAGGCAGTGGGGGGGTCCCAAGCAAATGTGACATGTTGGACATCCAACGTGCTGGTGAGAGTCATGCAGTATGATCACAGCAGAGATGTCCATAATTATGGAATGGCAAGGTAAGCACACAGCTGTGGGAGCAGAGGGGCACCTAACCTGTTTAAACTTAGCACAGAATAAAAAAGGGAAGGAGAGAGGTGATATTAGGATTTTATTTGAGATCTAAGTTTAAGGGAACGGCAGGATATCCAGTCTGTAACTTCCATAAACAGCAAATATCCAATCATTCTTTTATTGTTGTTTTTAAGCATCTACTATGTGCTGGGCTGTTTACTAGACCTGGGAAAATAACTAGGACACTGTTCTATCCTGAAAAGCCTCAAACTGCAAGAGAGTAACGCAGGTACAGTACAGTGAAGAGAGAGGGTCAGAAGATAGGGTGCGTAACAACAGGTTTGTTGAAGGCCACGGCAATTTTCCTTTCCAACCATACTGCTCACTATTGGCCAAACCCACCACTCCACACAGACCATGCGCTCCGACCTCTTGATTTGTGCTTGGCCTCTCCCCAAAACACTTTCCAAATCTGAGTCATTCCTCAAGGCCATTTGGCTTCCTCACTGAAGGCTTCAGGAAAACGGCTCAGCTTGGTGATCTTGCCTTCCCCAAACAGCTACAGCACTTCTTGTCCATACACCATTACCTGGTGGCTGTGTCCTTATTTCCCCACTTGGTATGAATGCCTTATCTCCCCAGCTGAGCCATGTATTGTTGAAGGCATGTAACAAACATGTCTCACATCTACAAGGTCCTCAAACAGCAGCCAAGCAAACACTTGTTGCTCTGCTACTAGACTTCCCTCCAATCCAGCTTGCATTTCAGCATCTTACTGAAAAAGATCTGATTAATTCACCCCCTATTTTAAAACCTTCACTGGCTCCCAATTATTAGTACAGCACATGCAGACTTGTCTTCCAGGTGTACCACACAGCTTTCCCTTCCCTGCCTCCCAAACACCTTAAAGTTGAAGCAACAGCAATAAAAATAGTCACGTGCTACATAACACATTTCTGTCAACAATGACCACGTACACAATGGTGGTCCCATCAGAGTACAATGGAGCTGAAAAACTCCTATTGCCTGGTGATGCTGTAGCTGTCATAATGCAACATATTACCTCCTTGTTTATGGTCATGCAAGTGTAAACCTAATATACTGCCAGTGGTATAAAAGCATAGCACATACAACTATGTACAGTACATAATACTTGAAAATAAACTATGTTACTGGTTTACATATCCTATGTAGAATTCTATGTTATGTATACTATGTATTCTACTTATAAAAATAGTTAACTAAAGCTGGGTGTGGGAGCATGTGCCTATAAGTCCTAGCTACTCAGGAGGCTGAGGCAGAGAATCGCTTGAACCTGGGAGGTGGAGGTTGCAGTGAGCCGAGATCATGCCACTGCACTCCAGTCTGGGCGACAGAGAGAGACTGTCTCAAAAAAAAAACCAAAGCAAACAAACAAAAGACACTGTTATCATAGGAGATGATAGCTCCATGTGTGTTACTGACCCTAAAGACCTTCCAGTGGGCCAAGATGTGAAGCTGGAAGACAGTGATATTGATTATTCTGACCCTGTGTAGGTTTAGGCTAATGCATGTGTTTGTGTCTTAGTTTTTAACAAAAGTGTTTAAAAAGTGAAAAAATAAAAAATAAAAAATATTTAAATATGGCTCGGTGAGGTGGCTCACGTCTGTAATCCCAGTACTTTGGAAGGCCAAGGTGGGTGGATCACATGGGGTCTGGAATTCCAGACCAGCCTGGCCAACACGGTGAAACCCCGTCTCTACTAAAAAAAACACAAAAATTAGCCAGGTGTAATGGCGTGTGCCTGTAGTACCAACTACTTGGGAGGCTAAGGCAGGAGAATCGCTTGAACTCGCGACATGGAGGCTGCAGTGAGCTGAGACTGCACCATTCCACTCCAACCTGGGCGACACAGCAAGACTCTGTCTCAAATAATGATAATAAATAGAAAAAAAAGCTTATAAAGTGGCTAGGCCTGGTGGCTCACACCTACAATTCCAGAACTTTTGGGAGGCAGAGGAGAAAGGATTGCTTGATGCCAGGAGTTTGAGACCAGCCTGGGCAACATAGCATGACTCCAGCTCTATAAAAACTAAAAAAACGTAGCCAAGCACGGTGGTATGCACCTGTAGTCCTAGCTACTCAGGAGGCTTAAGTGAGGGTTGCTTGAGCCCAGGAGTTTGAGGTTACAGGGAGCTATGACTGTGCCACTGCACTCCAGCCTGGAACAGAGTAAGACCTTATCTCTAAGAGTAATTAATAATAATCATAAAAAAGTTTATAGAATAACACAATGACAGAAAATATTTTTGAACAGCTGCACAATGTATTTGTGGTTTAAGCTAAGTGTTATTACAAGAGTCAAAAGGTTACAAATTTTTAAAGTTTTTAAAGTAAAAAAGTTACAGTAATCTGGCCAGGGACTGGTGGCTCATGCCTGTAATCCCAGCATTTTGAGAGGCCCAGGCGGGTGGATCACAAGGTCAGCAGATCAAGACCATCCTGGCTAATACGGTGAAACCCCGTCTCTACTAAAAATACAAAAAATTAGCCAGGTGTGGTGGCGGGCACCTGTAGTCCCAGCTACTCGAGAGGCTGAGGCAGAAGAATGACGTGAACCCGGGAGGCGGAGCTTGCAGTGAGCCAAGATCAAGCCACCGCACTCCAGCCTGGGCGACAGAGAGAGACTCCGTCTCAAAAAAAAAAAAAAAAAAGTTACAGTAATCTAAGGTTAATAATATCAAAACAAGAAAACTTTAAAAAATAAATTTAGTGTAGTCCAAATGTACAGTGTTTATACATCTACAGTAGTGTGCAGTAACGTCCTGGGCCTTTACCTTCATTCACCATTCACTCACTGACTCACCCAGAACAACTTCCTTATCTTTTATACCTTATTTTTACTGTACCTTCTCTATGTTTAGACATATGCAGATACATACTTACCACTCTTTTACAATCTCCTACAGCATTCAGTACAGTAACATGCGGTACAGGTTTGTATCCTAGGAGCAATAGGCTATACCACATAGCCTAGATGGGCAGTCGGCTACACCCAGGCTAGGTGTGTGTAAGTACATCCTAAGATGTTAGAACAACGACAAAAATCACTCAATGATGCACTTCTTAGAAATATTCTGTTGTTAACTGAGGCATGATTGTACCAAAACAAAAAAAAAACAACGTACCACCAGCACCAAAGGTGCCAGAGATGAAAATTAGAAAGACGACTGATATTCATTCAACTGCTGACAACAGATGTTTTGGGGGTGGGATTACAGGGCATAGTCATCTTTCAGCAACTAGTTCGATCGGCCGGGCGCAGTGGCTCACGCCCGTAATCCCAGCACTTTGGGAGGTCGAGGCGGGCGGATCACGAGGTCAGGAGATCGAGACCATCCTGTCTAACACGGTGAAACCCCATCTCTACTAAAAAAAATACAAAAAAATTAGCACGGCGTGGTGGCGGGCACCTGTGGTCCCAGCAACCCGGGAGGCGGAGCTTGCAGTGAGCCTAGATCGTGCCACTGCGCTCCAGCCTGGGCAACAGAGCAAGACTCCGTCTCCAAAAAGAAAAAAAAAAAAAAAAACTAGTTTGACCAACATGCTAATTTTAAAACAAATAAAATTTAAAAGAAAACAATAATTGCAACTACTTTTATTGAGTGTTTAAATTATGTGCAATGCAATATTTTTTGTTTGTTTTGAGACAGAGTCTCCCTCTGTCGTCCAGGCTGGAGTGCACTGGTGCAATCTCGGCTCAGTGCAACCTCTGCCTCCCTGGTTCAAGCAATTCTCCTGCCTCAGTCTCCCAAGTAGCTGAGATTACAGGCTTGTGCCACAATACCCGGCTAATTTTTGTATTTTTAGTAGAGGCGAGGTTTTAACCATGTTGGCCAGACTGGTCTCGGACTCCTGACCTGAAGTCATCCACCTGCCTCGGCCTCCCAAAGTGCTAGGATTACAGGTGTGAGCCATCACACCCAGCTGCAATGCAATATATTATAGTCTCATTTAATCTTAACTCTATTATGCAGTAACTAGCCATTCTGCAGATGAGGAAACAAAGGCTCAGAAAGTTTAGTAACTCTCATAAGGTTATACAGCCAGTCAGTAAGGAAGACAGGCTGGGACTAACAAGGAATGTGCCCTAACTTCTACTGTTCTTAGCAATGTTCTGTGTATTCCCAGCACACCCAGCAGGCACCTTCTGCACCTTTTCGTTTGTTCAGCCTGGTCCTTCTGCGTGAATAATACCAGCTTTGCTGACATACCACTCACCTTTCAAGTCCAGTGCAAATCGCACTTTTCCCTTAACACCTTCCTAGAACACAAGCCATGATAAGCATTACCAGAGTTATCTACCCTTCTATTTCCCCCACAGCGTGGGACCTTAGTTCTCTTACTGCCACGCACAGAGCAAGCAATCGAACACTGGGTGAATTAAGTTGACAATATAAATTCTCTTTCTGACAAATGTAAAGGTAACAGATGAAGACCAAAAGTTTTAATCTGTGAGGAAAATTAATACCAAGAAAGGGTTTCCATAATCCCTACCTGCATTCTCTGCTCTGAACCTCACCTCTCACTGAGGCATAAGGAAAGGCAGGTTAATTTTCACCTCTTCCAAAAAGTGGCTTTACATAATAAATCCCACTTCTGAAGAATAAAAGCTACCTAACTTGTTATTAAAAATGTAAGCAATGAGAATAAAAAGGTTTCTTTAGAGTTTTTAAAATTACTTTCAATGCCTCTAGCCCTTGAAAGAAAGCACTTAAGTTTAGTACAAACAAAATGTAAAAACATGAAAACTTACTTTCCCTATACATAAACATGGAGACACAAAACCAGTGAAACAGACACGTTTAAAATTCAAAATGCTCTTAACTGACCACATCCTAATTTACGAGCAGAAGTCGAGTCCAAACAAAAACACACTGTAAAACAAAAGTGCTGGCTAACAACCTTAGAAAGAAAATATAGGAGGGGACAAACAGATTTTAATGTGTCCTTGGCCTTCCTGAGCAAAGCAATGAGAAATGCAGTCAACCAAAGCATTTAGACTTGATTTTACTGGACGTACCAACACCATAGGTCAACCTGTCAAATGAAGCAAAAAGCAGAACCGAGTTCTATGGGTTTAGTCCCCTCCAGATAAAAGCCAATGAACCTTTTTACAGTTTATGGGGTCCTCTCCATATGGCTGGGGATGCAGGCATGGGAGGAATATTGTCTGGACGATTAATTCCTGTGAAATGAACACAGGAGTTAGGAGGAGCGGAGGTGAGTCAACACACTCTACACTTCCACGGTTGCCTCAAACTCACCACAATTCCAAAATACCAAGAAACAATGTGCTAGTTCTTGCTTTTTTTAAGTGTCCATAAGCTAAAAGTCCTTCTGAAGATTGAGCGTCCCACTTAAAAGCCCAAACCAAAAAATAGTTTGCAGGATTATTTCAAATATATTAAAAACATCAAAATGCTAACTCCAAACTAAGGTGAAATAGTTACATCTAAGTATCCAAGAAGAGCATCAAGAATTAGCAAATTAATTTAGGGTCAGAAAACCTAATAATTAGGGTCAGAAGAACAAAAAGATCATTTCGGTAGCATAAGAACTTTGTGCCGGGTGCAGTGGCTCACGCCTGTAAATCCCAGAACTTTTGGAGGGCAGGGCAGGCGGATCACGAGGTCAGGAGTTCAAGACAAGCCTGGCCAACATGGTGAAACCCCACCTCTACTAAAAAAAATACAAGAATTAGCCAGGCATAGTGGCGCATGCCTGTAGTCCCACATACTCGGGAGGCTGAGGCAGGAGAATTGCTTGAGCCCAGGAGACAGAAGTTGCAGTGAGCCGAGATCGTGCCACTGCACTCCAGTCTGGCCAACAGAATGAGACTCTGTCTCAAAAAAAAAAAAAAAAAGAACTTTGTAAATGTCTGTCGCTCTAGACCTTATTTTAGGGTGCAAGCCATAACTATGATAAGGAGGGTGCCATGTATAAATGTAACAGACACTGAGACAAAAGAAAACTACTCCTGACAGCAGTTTGCTGTCTTTCCCAAGAGATTTGAGGAACAGTAACCATAAAACTTTCCTCCTCCCTTCTCAACTGGGGACTTCTCTGATGTAATATCAGGGAGAAGAACAAGGGAACATTGGGTATCAACTGGTGCACACCATCTCTCTCCTGAAGTGACAGAAAGAACATTGAGTAGTACTATCTTACCTAGAGTCAAACTAAATGACTTGAACAAAGAGACCAAGAAAAACATGTTTAGAAAATCATCTAGAAATAGGATTTTATTTTAGTAAGCGAAGTGAACAAAAAATACAATTTTATTTGTACATACAATTGCTTCCACTATTAAATTTGTTTTCTATTGATTCTTCTGGGTCATCTGTTGGAAAAAGTACTACATTTAGAATTAAGAAATCTAAATACTTCCTAGTCTTGCCACTTGTTCTGTGACTTGGGCAAGTTATTTAACCCATATGTCTCACATTCTTCACCTGCAAAAGTGGAGTTAACCTACCTTGCCACCACACGGGAATGTCCCACAGTAAGTCTGCAAACAGCTAAGTACCATATAAATCAAAATTATCACTGTTAGAATTACCACCCTCTTTCCCTCTCTCAGGTAAAAACTTGAACCAATAATAAAATAAGTAAAAGACACCAGACATGGTGGCTCACGCCTATAATCCCAGCACTTTGGGAGGCCGAGGCAGGCAGATCACTTGAGGTCAGGAGTTCAAGATCAGCCTGGCCAACATGGTGAAACCCTGTCTCTACCAAAAATACAAAAATTAGCTGGGCATGGTGGCAGGCACCTGTAATCCGAGAATCACTTGCTTGTACACCCAGGAAGCAGAGGTTGCAGTGAGCCGAGATCTCACCACTGCACACTCCAGCCTGGGTGACAGTGAGATTCCACTTCAAAAAAACAAACAAAAACAAAAACAAAAAAACAAGTAAAAGACAACAAGGAAAAAAATGGAAAAGAGGTTATCAAACAAACAAAATAAACCCTAAAAAACACAATAAATAACTACTGATTGGTGTAACAGCACTCTGTGACAGGTAATTTTTGTCATTCTCGAGTTAGGAAAGATCCCACACCCTGGGATCTACAGTCCATTCATAGAAATCACAGCAGGGTTAAATCCTCATCAATCCTCTAATTCACAATGAAGAATGCCGACGGAGCGCATTCTTAATCTATATGGCAAGAACTACAAGCCACAGGACCAATCCCCACCCTCCCCACAGAGGGACAGTGGCCTGACAGTTGGAGCTCTACTTGGAGGCAGATGGCCTCTAAAGTGCAAGAGTTTTCCCTTCTTCCCTGACCACTGGCATGCAATTAGCAAACACCCTAACCCCAGTCATTCTGAAATAAGCCAATGGAGAGTCACCTGCAATCCTAAATTTTGAAAATAAAAAAGTCAAAGAGACACAAACATTCTATGAAAAATCAGCCACAAGCATAACATTGCAGGTATTGTGGGTCTGGTTCCAGACCGTGGCAATAAAGCGAGTCACACAAATTTTCTGGTTTTCCAGCACATATTAACTTTTATATGTGTACGCTATACTTCAGTCTACTAAGTGTGAAATGGTATTATGTCTAAAAGACAATGTTCATACCTTAATTTAAAAAATACTTTATCGTTAAAAAATGCTAACAATCATCTGAGCCTTCAGGGAGTCCTAATCTTTTTGCTGACGGAGGGTCTTGCCTCCATGTTGATGGCTGCTGACTAATTAGGGTGGTGGTTGCTGAAGGCTGAGGTGGCTGTGGCAAATTTCTTCAAATAACACACCCATGAAGTCTGACGCATCGACTGGCTCTTCCTTTTCTAAGAGATTTTTCTATAGCATGCCAAACTGTTTGATAGCATTTTACCCACAGTGGAACTTCTTTCAAAACTGCAGTCAGTTCTCTTCAACCCCGCCACTGCTTAATCAACTACGTTTATGTAATATTCTAAATCTTTCATTGGCATTTCAACAATGTTCACAGCATCTTCATCAGGAGTAGATTCCATCTCAATAAATCACTTTCTTTGCTCATCCATAAGCAGCAACTCCTCATCTGTTCAAGTTTTATCATGAGATTACAGCAATCCAGTCACATCTCCAGGCTCCACTTTTAATTCGAGTTCTCTTGCTATTTCTACCACATCTGCAGTTCCTGCCTCCACTGAAGTCCTGAACCCCTCAAAGTCATCCATGAGGGCTGGAATCATCTTCCAAACTCCTGTTCATGTACTGACCTCCTCCCATGAATCACAAATGTTCTTAATGGCATTTAGAATGGTAAATCCTTTCCGAAAGGTTTTCAATTCACTCTGCCCAGACCCACTAGAGGAATTATTATGTATAGCAGCTAGAGCCTTATGAAACATATTTCTTAAATAAGACTTGAAAATCAAAATGATTCCTTGATCCAGGGGCTGCAGAATAGATGTTGTGTTAGCAAGCATGAAAACAACATTTATCTCCTTATACATTTCCATCAGAGCTCTTAGGTGACCAGGTATACTGTCAAGAAGTAATATTCTGAAAGAAATCTTTTGAGTAGTAGGTCTCAACAGTGGCCTTAAAATATTCATTAAACCATTCTGTAAACAGATGTGCTGTCATCTAGGTTTTGTTGATCCACTGACAGAGCACAGGCAGAGTAGATTTAGCATAAATTTATGGGCCCTAGAATTATTAGAATGGTAAATGAGCACTGGCATCAACCTAAATTCACCAGCTACACCAGCTCCTAATAACAGTCAGCCTGTCTTTTGAAGCCAGGCACTGACTTCTCCTAATTATGGAAGTCCTAGATGGCATCTTTTCTGACATAAGGCTACACTGAATATCTGTTCAATATAGCCACCTTCATCAGTGATCTTGGCTACATCTTCTAGATAACTTGCTGCAGCTTCTACATTAGCACTTGCTTCAACTTGCATTTTAATGTTACAGAGATGGTTTCAAGAACTTTAGGAACCAATCTGTGCTAGCTTCAAACTTCACTTCTGCAGCTTCTTACTTTTTTCAGCCTTCACAGAAGTGAAAAGAGAAAGTCTTGCTCTGGGATTAGGCTCTGGCTTAAGGGAATGTTGCGGCTGGTTGATTTTCCATCTGAGTCACTAAAACTTTTCCATATCAGCAATAAGCTGTTTCGTTTTCTTCTCATTCATGTGTTCACTGGAGTTGTACTTTTAACTTTCTTCAAGAACCTTTTCTTGCATTCATAACTTGGCCACGTTTGGTGCAATAGGCCTAGTATTCAGCCTATCTTGGCTTTTGACATGCCTTCCTCACTAAACCATCATTTCTAGCTTCTGATTTAAAAGTGAGAGATGTGCAATTCTTCCTGTCACTTGAACATTTAATGGTCATGATCAGGTTATTAACTGACCTAACTTCAATACTGTTGTGTCTGAGGTAACAGAGAGACCTGAGGAGGTGGTGAGATGGGGGGACACCCAGTTGGCAGCAGTCTGAACACACATCTATACACAACATGTATATATTAAGTTCGCCGTCTTATATGGGAGTGCTTTGTGGCGCTCCAAAACAATTACAAAAGTAACATCAGGCCGGGCGCGGTGGCTCACGCCTGTAATCCCAGCACTTTGGGAGGCCGAGGTGGGTGGATCATGAGGTCAGGAGATTGAGACCAACCTGGCTAACACGGTGAAACCCTGTCTCTACTAAAAATACAAAAAAATTAGCCAGGTGTGATGGCGGGCACCTGTAGTCCCAGCTACTCGGGAGGCTGACGCAGGAGAATGGCGTGAACGCGGCAGGCAGAGCTTGCAGTGAGCCGAAATCGCACCACTGCACTCCAGCCTGGGCGACAGAGCGAGACTCCATCTCAAAAAAGAAAAAAAAAAGTAACATCGATGATCACTGATCACAGATCTTCATGACAGATAACAATTTTAAAAGTTTAAGGCTGGGCGCGGTGGCTCATGCCTGTAATCCCAGCACTTTGGGAGGCCGAAGCGGGTGGATCATCTGAGAACAGGAGTTCGAGACCAGCCTAGCCAATACGGAGAAACCCCGTCTCTACTAAAAATACAAAATTAGCAGGGCGTGATGGCGCATGCCTGTAATCCCAGCTACTCGGGAGGCTAAGGCAGGAGAATCACTTGAACCCCGGAGGCGGAGATTGCAGTGAGCCAAAATCACGCCATTGCACTCCAGCCTGGGGAACAAGAGTGAAAATCTCTCTCAGAAAAAAAAAAAAAGTTTAAAATATTCAGGCCAGGTGTGGTGGCTCATGCCTGTAATCCCAGCACTTTGGGAGGCTGAGGCAGGCAGATCACTTCAGGTTAGGAGTTCCAGACCAGTCTGGCCAACACAGTGAAACCCCACCTCTACTAAAAATAAAAATATTAGCCGGGCATGGTGGTGCACACCTGTAATCCCAGCTACTCACGAGGCTGAGGGGGAGAATCGCTAGAACCCAGGAGGTGGAGGTTGTAGTGAGCCGAGATGGCGCCACTTCACTCCAGTGCAGCTCTGGGAGACAGAGCGAGACTCCGACTCAAAAATAAATAAAATAAAATGAATAAAATGTTTAAAATATTGGGAGAATTACCAAAATGTGGCACAAAGACACAAAGTGAGCACATGCTGTTGAAAAATTGGCACCAACAGACTTAGACTTGCTCAATGCAGGGTTGCAATAAACCTTCAATTTATAAAACAAAAAAATCCCACAATATCTGTGAAGTACAATAAAGTAGAATGCAATAAAATGAGGTATCCCTGTATTTCCAAAGCTTCTAGGTGGTAATAATAATAGCTAAAATTTATCTAATCATTACTGTAAGTCTGGCAATGTTCTAAAAGCTTTAGTTATGAACTAATTTAACTGGCACAGCCACCCACGAGGTAGGTACAATTATTATTTCCATTTTCTAGACAACGAAACAGAGGCAGAATAGTCATTTGCTTGACGTCACATTGCAAACAAGGGGCAGAGCTGGGATTCAAAAATCAGGCGACTGGCTGCAGAGATCATGCTCTAGATAGTGAGTCTTAAAGCACCCACCAACCAATACCACCTGGTTTACCCAAACAATTCAGGCATCTTAACAGTGTCACACAGAGACATAAACAATAATACAGTATAATAGTATCACTCACCATATGGTCACTTGTTTCAAGGTTAATGTTAGAATAACATGAGTCCATGAAAATAAGACCTTGTTTTCTGTTTACAGTAATACAGACTAAATAACTGCACAAAAAACTGGATACAATATATATACATCTTTCCAAAAGTAACAAAAATCTAACAAGATAGTGAGATATTACCAAATTAATATCCTGAAAAAGATGGAAATCCAAAGAAAGAGGCAAGACCTGGGGGCATTTGTTGATTTGCCAGTGGAGGCCCAGAAAGTGCCTGGCTCACTCCAAGGCCTTGCATAGGAGATAACTTATAACTCATAACTCAGTAACGCGCTCCTCACCCCAGCGAACCTGTGAACTGAGGCCCCATAGGGCTGCATCCTAGGAGTAAGACTGAAGTAGAAGTAAATAAGCCCTCCCATGGACTCAGCTTCAAACCATCTGGATAGTCCATAAAAAACTCAAATCTTCAACTTTTTTTTTTTTCTGAGACAGAGTCTTGCTCTGTCCCCCCCAGGCTGGAGTGCAGTGGCGCCATCTCAGTTCACTGCGACCTCCGCCTCCCGGGTTCATACGACTCTCCTGCCTCAGCCTCCCAAGTAGCTGGGATTACAAGCACCCGCCATCACGCCCGGCTAATTTCTGTATTTTTAGTAAGGAGGGGGTTTCACCATGTTGGCCAGGCTGGTCTCGAACTCCTGACCTCAGCTGATCTGCCTGCCTCAGTCTCCCAAAGTGCTCTGGGATTACAGGCCTTAGCCAGCGCGCCTGGGCTTCAACTTGTATTAAAATGATCCTCGTTGGCTAGTGCCGTCAGTCACCTGGAAAAAGACATCACACCCAAAGCCTCTAATTATTTCTATAAACAATTTTTCAAATACCATGTCCAGCACACAAACATATGAACAAAGTACCATGAGTAAGAACCATGAGAGGCAGTTATAGATCCAAAGGAACTCCAAATACTGGAGATATCAGGAGACTATAAAAGAATTATATTTAGTATGTTCTAGGAAATAAAAGCGAAGTTTGAAAAATTTAGCAGGGAACAGGAATCCATAAAAAACAATGTAGCAGACTTGAAAAGAATCACAACTGAAAAATACAGTAAGATATTGGTAAGAACTATCCATTGAGTTATTAAATTAAAAGCAGATTAATCGGCTGGCGCGGTGGCTCATACTTGTAATTCCAGCACTTTGGGAGGCTGGGGCAGGTGGCTCACTTGAGGCCAGGAGTTGAAGACCAGCTTGGCCATCATGGTGAAACTCCATCTCTACTAAAAGTACAAAAATTGGCCAGGTGTAGGGGCACACACCTGTGGTCCCAGCTACTCGAGAGGTTAAGGCACAAGAACTGCTTGAACCCAGGAGGCAGAGGGTGCAGTGAGAGCCAAGATCGTGCCACTGCACTGCACCCCAGCCTGGGCGAAAGAGTGAGACTCTTGTCTCAAAAAAACGCAGATTAGTCAAAGAGAAGACTGATTAACTGAAAACAGGTCAAAGTAATCTACCCAGAATGAAAAATAGAAAAGAAAAAAAACACTTGTAATGGATGCCATTTAATCCCAGCACTTTAGGAGGCTTAGGCGGGCAGATCAGGAAGTCAGGAGATCGAGACCATCCTGGCTAACACAGTGAAACCCCGTGTCTACTAAAAATACAAAAAATTAGCCAGGCGTGGTAATAAGTGCCTGTAAGTCCCAGCTACTCGGGAGGCCGAGGCAGAAGAATCACTTGAACCCAGGAGGCGGAGGTTGCAGTGAGCCGAAATCGCACCACCGCACTCCAGCCTGGGCGACAGAGCGAGACTTCGCCTCAAAAAAAAAAAAAAAAAAAAAAAAACAGAAAAGAAAGGGTGACTACAAGGTTGAATGTATCCCTGTATGGGTGGACTCTTAGAATGAGAAGGGAATGGAGGCAAGGCAGTAAGTGAGGAGAAGTATTGGGAATTTTCCAGAACAAATAAGAGATATCACCAAAGAATCAAGAATCTTGGTGAATACAAAACAGATGGTCTCTATTATCTAGAATGTCTTCCAAAAATAACATGAACCTGTTCTGTAAGTATAGTACCACCACAATTAAATATCTATTGTGGTCATATTAGGGGTTATCATAGGGTATACTATATAGACGAACTTACAACACTCTCAGCACGTGAGGAGCTCAAAGTCAAGGATTTAGAAGAGGTATTTTCAACTGTGAAGATCTCTCTACCCGGCCAGGCGAGGTGGCTCACACCTATAATCCCAGCACTTTGGGAGGCTGAGGCACGCGGATCACCTGAGGTCAGGAGTTCAAGACCAGCCTGGCCAACATGGTGAAACCCCATCTCTACTAAAAATACAAAACTTGGCCAAGGGTGGTGGTGGGCACCTGTAATCCCAGCTACACGGGAGACTGAGGCAGGAGAATCACTTGAACCCAGGAGGCAGAGGTTGCAGTGAGTGGAGATCGCACCACTGCACTTCAGCTTGGGTGACAGAGCAAGACTCTGTCTCAAAAAAAGAAAAAAGACATGCAGGAACCTTAAATGATTATTGCTAAGTGAAAGACATGAATCTGAAGTGGCTACATGACTTTAGCTATATAATATTCTGGAAAACACCAAACTGTAAAGTCAGTAGGAAGATCAATGATTACCAAGGATCCAAGGGAAGAGGGGGAAGGATGAATACGGAGAGAGTACAGGTGACTCCTGGGATAGTGAAACAATTCTGTATAATACTGTATTAGCAGATGTAAGACATTATGCATTTGTCCAAACCCACAGAATATACAACAAAGAATGAACTCAAGTCAGTTGCTGTGGCTAGCACCTGTAATCTCACCTGAATCCAGCAGCTCAAGGTTACTGCGAGCTATGATTGTACCACTGCACTGGCTGGCAGAGCAAGACACTGTCTCAAAAAAAAAAAAAAAAAAAAAAAAAAAAAGTCAGGCATGATGGCTCACGCCTGTAATCCCAGCACTTTGGGAGGCTGAGGTGGACTGATCACTTGACGTCAGAAATTTGAGACCAGCCTGGCCAACACGGTGAAACCCTGTCTCTACTAAAAATATAAAAATTAGCAGGCATGGTGGTGGGTGCCTGTAATCCCAGCTACTCAGAAGGCTGAGGCAGGAGAATCGCTTGAACCCTGGAGGTGGAGGTTGCAGTGAGCTGAGATCACACCACTGCACTCCAGCCTGGGCAACAGAGCAAGACTCCCTCTCAAAAACAAACAAAAAAAGGTCAAATATGAACTGGACTTGAGTTAATAATAAAATATCAATACTGTATATCAAGTGTAGCAAATGCACCACACTAATATGAGATATTAGTAATAGTGGAACCTATGGTTGGATTGAGGGAGGGTAAACAGGAACTCTCTTATTGCTCATTTTTTCTGTAAACCTAAAACTGCTCTAAGCAATAAAGTCTACTAACATTTCTCTTAAAAAGTTAATGTATCAGGAAAAATGAACCACAATGACACAGCACTTCATACCCATAGGTATGGCTATAGGAAAGAAAACAAAAAATTACAAGTGTTGGTGATGATGTGGAGAGACTGGAACCCTCACATATTGCTGGTGGGGGCCAGGCACACTGGATCACTTGAAGCCAGGAGTTAGGAGACCAGCCTGGCCAACCATGGTGAGACCCTGTCTATAAAAATACAAAAATTAGACAGGTATGGTGGCACATACCTGTAATCCCAGCTATTTGGGAGGCTGAAGCAAGAGAATCACTCGAGCCCAGTGAGTGAAGCCTGTAGTGATCCACGATCATGCCACTGCCCTCCAGCCTGGGCCACACATGGGAATATAAAATATTCAGCCACTGTGAAAAAGTCTGGTGGTTCTTCAAAAAGTTGAATACAGAATTACACGATCCAGCAACTCCATTCCTAGGTATATACTCAAAATAAGTGAAAACAGGTATCCAAACAAATAGATATACACACATGTTCATAGCAGCACTATTCAAAATAGCCAAAAGGTGGAAACAACCGAAATGTCCATCAACAGATGAACGGATGAACAGATTGTGGTATATACATAAAACTGAGTATGTATTCAGCCATGAAAAGGAATGAAGTACTCATACACAATACAATGTAGATAAATCTCAAAACACTACGCGCTAAGTGAAAGAAGTCAGACATGAAAGGTCACATATTGTACGATTCCATCTAATGAAATATCCAAAAGAAGTAAATCTAAAAACAGAAAGCAGATCGGTGGTTGCAAAGGACTGGCAGAAGAGGGCAAGGGGAGTAACTGCTTAATGGGTAGCAGGTTTACTTTGGGACTAGATACAGGTTGTTATGGGTGCACACATTGTGAATGCAGCAAACGCCACTCGAGTGTTCGCTTAAAAATGATTAATTTTGTCACGTGAATTTCATATCAATTTAAAAAAATCTGGCTGGGCGCAGTGGCTCACACCTGTAATCCCAACACTTTGGGAGGCTGAGGCAGGAGGATCACTTGAGTTCAGGAGTTCAAGACCAGCCTGGACAACATGGCGAAACCCCATCTCTACAAAAAAAAATACCAAAATCAGCTGGGCATGGTGGTGCGCACCTGTAATCCTAGCTACTGGGGTGGTTGAGGCACAAGATTTGCTTCAGCCTGGGAGGCGGAGATTGCAGTGAGCCGTGATCATGCCACTGCACTCCAGCCTGGGCAACAGAGCCGGATCCTGTCTCAGAAGAGAAAAAGAAAAAGAAAAAAAATCTCTAAAAAGGTGTAACTGAGAAGAACCTAGGACATGCAAGAGCAAGTAATTCATTACATAGTCTTCCCCTTTAGTTATCTCCCTTACTCCTTTTTTTCTCTTTGTAGCTGGGACTACAGGCATGCACCACTATGCCCGGCTATTTTTAATTTTGTAGAGACGAGGTCTCACTATGCTGCCCAGGCTGGTCTCCAACACCTGGGTTCAAGTGATCCTCCCACCTAGCATCCCATTGTAGGCGTCAACTACTGTGTCCAGCCTCCTTTACTCCTGTCTCATTCCCATGGCTACTCATCTCGGCCCTGCAAAAACATGAAACGTGGAAGAACAAGATGCTATCTGGGAGGTTTCTAACACTAAATTAAATATTGTTTCTTTGAACACTGACCTACTTCTCCCTTAAGAACTGAGTCCTAGTACTAAAAACTAACCTTTCACCATCATCTTCCTAAAATATTGTGATACCTTCTGCAATGCCCTTTTAAGGGGGTCAAGACAATTCATGTATTCACCCTAAGACAGCTTCCTCCAGCGCGATGTCAACCTTTCTGCCCACCTGCTCAGGACCTCAATTTTGCTAAGATCACTAGCTCTTACTAAGCTTTGGTAGAATTAACCAATGTTTTCTAGCGCCTTTCCCTCTCTATGGCCAATTTTATTTTTAAATTTTATTTATGTATTTTTTGGAGAGAAGGTCTCACTACGTTGCCCAGACTGGTCTCCAACTCCTCGCCTCAAGCAATCCTCCCACCTCAGCCCCTGAATAGATGGAATTACAGGCATGAGCCACCACAGCCAGCTCTATGGTCAAATTTTTACAACGTATTATCAATGATCTAGTTGTCTGTTTCCCACACAATACTGTTGAACACCCTGAGGACAAGTACTAGGACTCATCCCCAAACTCTGAAAAATGGTGCTTCTCAGTCGTTTCCCCATTTGGTTTCTTTTCTTCTACTCTAAAATACTAGACCCAATTTGCTTAATTCTTTTTCTTTTTTCTTTTTTTTCTGAGATGGAGTCTCACTCTGTCACCCAGGCTGGAGTGCACTGGTGTGATCTTGGCTCACTGCAACCTCCACCTACCAGGTTCAAGTGATTCTCTTACCTCAGCCTCCGTGTAGCTGGCGTTACAGGCGCATGCCACCACGCCCAGCTAACTTTCGTATTTTTGGTAGAGACAGGGTTTCGCCATGTTGGCCAGGCTGGTCTTAAACTCTTTACCTCACCTCAAGTGACCCATCCGCCTCGGCCTCCCAAAGTGCTGGGATACAGGCATGAGTCACCAGGCCTGGCCTCAATATACTTAATTCTTTACCTACATTGTTTCTCCTGGCTTCAAAAAGCTTCCTGACCACCAAAACTAATCCTTGGAAAAGGACAAGTCTTCCCTACACCAAAACTAAATACCATTGTTTGCCTTTTTCTCGTACGTGTTTTTCTCTACCTCTAAAATGATTGCTTGTTCATGTGTTCAATGCACCGTAGAGGATACGGCAAGTGCCAATACCATAATCTTGCCCTCAGGGAGGACTGGGGAAGGAGGGCAAGAACACATTTAGAAAGGTATAATAGGCTGGGCACGGTGGCTCACGCCTGTAATCCCAGCATTTTGGGAGGCTGAGGCAGGCAGATCACGAGGTCAGGAGTTTGAGACCAGCCTGGCCAACATGGTGAAACGCCATCTCTACCAAAAATACAAAAATTAGCCAGGCGTGGTGGCGGGTGCCTGTAATCCCAGCTACTTGGGAGGCTGATGCAGGAGAACTGCTTGAACCTGGGAAGCAGGGGTTGCAGTGAGCCGAGATTGCGCCACTGCACTCCAGCCTGGGGGACAGAGCAAGACTCTGTCTCAAAAAATTAAAAAAAAAAAAAAAAGGAAAAAAGAAAGGTATAATAAAAAGCAAAAAGCAAAGATTAAAGGTGCACCAGAAAATTACAAACGTCATGAAGGAAACATCCAGTTAAGGGAATGTTAGATTTCATGGAGAAAAGTAACATTTGAGAAAGGCCTTGAAATATAACTATCTCAAAAGATGGAGAACAGGCTGCACGCGGTGGCTCATACCTGTGATCCCAGCACTTTGGGAGGCCGAGGCAGGTGGATCACCTGAGGTCAGGAGTTAGAGACCAGCCTGGTCAACATGGTGAAATCCCATCTCTACTAAAAATATAAGAATTTGCTTGGCGTGGTGGCAGGCGCCTGTAATCCCAGCTACTCAGGAGGCTGAGGCAGGAGAATGGCATGAACCCGGGAGGCGGAGCTTGCAGTGAGCCGAGATGGTGCCACTGCACTCCAGCCTGGGTGATAGAGCGAGACTCCATCTCAAAAAAAAAAAAAAAAAAGATAAGATGGAGAACAGAAAAGAGGACACGGACCCAGACCTGGAAATAAAGGCACCTCTGGGGACACCGAGCTGCAGCAGAGGATACAACTGGGGAAACCAGGAGATGTGGTTAGAGAGGCAGGGCAGGGTCCTACCATGGAACCCTGAAGACCAAGGCAAGGTGTCTAAATTTAACTCAGTACACAAATGAAAAGGATACGACAAGAGCTACCTTTCAGAAGATTTTCTGGCAGTAGTTGGGAAGACACTAGACCAGGGACTGGGGAAGAAAGGTTACTATTCACGAAGCTACAAGAGCTCAGGCAGGTCCAGCACCATGCTCATTTAAACCACTACCAATCTCTACTTCCACAAGCCTTGACCTGTCTCCTACTTGACTGGTTCCTCCGCATCTCTTCAAGACACCTCTCTTCAATTTCCTCACTTAAAATCACTAACTAGAAAGAAAAAATTAATAGTCTGTTCTACAGAAGTGACTTAAAAAGTGAATATTGTAGACTGATACAACCTTCTGGTTCATAGCCTTTACAACAAATATGTTGGCTCCTACTGTGTGTCAGGCACTACTCTAGGAAACATGGATGCAGACAGGGATGGAGTAGGCAAAGTTTCCATCCCATGGTGCTTACATTTTGTGAAGGAAACAGATACAAGACAAGACTGTCAGATAATTGCTGTGAAGGGAGAACAGGGCTGAGGGAGAGAGCACGTACTCATGTGGGCGCTGCCTGGGCTCAGGTGGGCAGGGAAAGCCTGTCAGTGTGGGGAGAAAGCAGCAGCCACATGGTGTACATTTTTACAAAGTATACATTTTACACTAAAAGGGAGAAACAGGTTTTGAAGCCACATAGAGTTGCATGCCAGCCCTGGCTCTATCACTTGGTGGCTGAGGAACCTCTTCCAAATGAATGAATCTCTCTTCAGTCTGTTTCTTTATCCCCGTTTTACAGATAAAATACTGACTTTATTGGGTTATTCTGAGAGAATTAAATAATGAATATAAAACGTGCACTGTGCCTGGTACTGGGTAAGGGATCTGTAAATATTAACTACTGATTTACTACATCAGTGATTAAATATACATAGAAATTATTTTGCTGCTATATCTAAACACTAGATTTAGCAAAAACTGTCTGCAATCAGTACCAATCATAATCCCAAATGCCATAATCCTGAATGTTAAAATCCCAAAAGACTAAAGTCTAAAAATCCCTAATGTTTAAAACCACAACCCCAAAAGATTAAAATCCCAAATGATGAAATCCCAAAAGCCGAATTTTGGGGCAGGGAATTTGCATAGTTTTGGTTGTACACAATAGTTACACCATGCTAGGTGGAACTATGACCTTGCTATTGTCATTATCTGGAAATTAAGTATGGTTTAAGGAGATGCCTATGGGTACCAAGTTGCCGAGGATAGATTTGTGGACTTAATTTTAGCTATCAACTTGACAGGAACACCTAGAAACCTGGTAAAGCACTGTGTTGTGTGTGTGTCTGTGAGGATGTTTTCAGAGATTAGTGTGCGAGTCTGAGTAGGCAAGGAGAGCCCTCTATGTTGGTGGGTATCATCCAATCAGCCAGGAGCCCAGGGAGTACACAGAAGGTGAATTGCTGAGAGCTAGAACAGACTTTTCTTCTGCTGCCTTGGACATCAGAACTCCAGGCTTGCCAGCCTTTGGACTCCAGGACTTAACCAGTGGCCCCCTGAATTCTGAGGCTTTTTGACCTTGGACCGAGAGATAACACCATTAGCTTCCCTGGTTCTGAGGCCTTTGGATTTGGACTGAGGTATGCTACTGGCATCCCAGGGTCTCAAGCCTGCAGATGATCTGTCATGGGACTTCTCAGCCACCATTAATCATATGAGCCAATTCCCCTAATAAATTCCCTCATATCTATACACATATCCTATTGGTTCTGTCTCCCTAGGGAACCCTGACTAATGCAGATTTGGTGTTGGGGAAGCTGAGTATCAGTTCTTCTTACTTTATTCTTTACAGCACAATTGAAGAGATCTGTGAAACTCTTCCCTCGCAAAAAGGCTCTGATAAGTGTACACGGCTACTTAATGGCGAAAGATAAAAGTTTAAAAGCTAATTATCACTGGTGCTGCAAAAGCAGAAATTGCAACGGCCAGGCAATAATCAGGCTTTCAAATAGACAGTATATACTTACAAAATTTGTGGATCACAACCACTTTGCAAATAAAACTGGAGCAAGTGCTTTGAAGATCGCAGAAGTGAAAATACAGGCAAAAAATACAAGAAATCTCCCCTGCCAAATTATTCAATGGTGTATTATTTCTGCTCCTTCACACATAGTGCCAATTTGCTATGCTATATATTTTATCTTCACATCATTTCTAATACTGGAGATATAAATTGTGTAGAGACTTTTGGAGAGTTCTAATTAATTCTATGCATTTTTTTTTTGCAAACTGAACTCCACAGAAGTGCATTATCACAACACTGACTTCATGTGTAAGCTCTGGCTGTGTTCATCAAAACGTAGAAGCCAGGTGTGGTGGAGCACCTGTAGTCAGTCCCGGCTACTAGGGAGGCTGAGGTAGGAGGATCACTTGAGGCCAGGAGTTTGAGGCTGAAGTGCACTATGATCATGCCTGTGAATAGTCACTGCACTCCAGCATGGGCAACATAGCTAGAAGACTATGGTCTCTTTAAAAAAAGTTGAAACTGGCCAGGCACGGTGGCTCACATCTGTAATCCCAGCACTTGTGAGGCCAAGGCGGGCAGATCACCCAAGGTCAGGAGTTCGAGGCCAGCCTGGCCAATACGGTGAAATCCTGTCTCTACAAAAATTAATAATACAAAAATTAGCCAGGCGTGGTGGCGGGGCGCCTGTAATCCCAGCTACTTGGAAGGCTGAGGCAGGAAAATCGCCTGAACCCAGGAGACAAAGGTTGCAGTGAGCCGAGACCACACCATTGCACTTCAGCCTCAGCAACAACAGTGAAACTCCATCTCAAAAAAAAAAAAAAAAAAAAAAGGTGAACCTTCAATGAGATGTCCTTTTTTTATACTGTTTTTGTGAAAGATAAAATTCAACAATATCTCTGCTCTTCAGGAGACTGCACACACAGTGATGACCCATCCTTGTTTTTACTACCTCATCAAAAGACCTAGTTTGTCCATCATGGTATTTCAGAGGACCACAGTTACAAAATGTAACACCCATGCAACTACGGTTAGTATACTGAGTGATTAAACTTGCAAAATACATTTGTTACTATTTTATTGTGTAAAGTGGTGTACTAGGCTGTTCCTGCATTGCTATGAAGGAATACTTAAAAGAAAAGAGATTTAATTGGCTTACAGTTCTGCAGGCTGTACAGGAGGCATAGTGGCACCTGCTTCCAGGAAGGCCTCAGGAAGCTTCCAATCATGGCAGAAGGCAAAGGGGGAACAGGCACATCACATGATGAGGACTGAGCAAGAGAGAGTGTGAGGTGCCACACTTTTAAAACAGCCAGATCTCGCGAGAAGTCGCTCACCGTCTCGAGGACAGCATCAAGGGGATGGTACTAAACCATTCATGAAAAATCCACCCACATAATCCAATCACCTCCTACCAGCCTCCACTTCCAATATTGGGGATTACAATTCAACATGAGATTTGGGCAGGGACACATATCCAAACTATATTAAGTGGCCTATGAAGTGTTGTCATGTTTTTGTTTCTCAAATAAATCCCCTTTAAAAAAGGTAAATAAGTGGTTTTTCTGTTTGTTTATTGAAGACAAAGTCTTGCTCTGTTGCCCAGACAGCGCCATCACAGCTCACTCCAACCTCTGCCTCCCAGACCCAAGAGATCCTCCCACCTCAGTCTCCCAAGTAGCTGGACTATAGGTGCACGCTAGCTTGCTAATTTTTGTATTTTTTTGTAGAGACAGGGTTTCTCCACGTTGCCCAGGCTGATCTTGAACTCCTGGGCTCAAGCAATCTGCCCACCTTGGCTTCCCAAAATACTGAGATTACAGGTGTGAGACTCTGTACCTGGCCAAACAAGTGTCTTTTTTTTTTTTTTTTTTTTTTTTTTTTGAGACAGAATCTCACTCTGTCACCCAGGTTGGAGTACAGTGGCATGATCTCAGCTCACTGCAACCTCCGCCTCCCATGTTCAAGTGATTCTCGTGCCTCAGCATCCCGAGTAGCGGGGACTACAGGCACTTGCAACCATGCCTAGATAATTTTTATATTTTTAGTAGAGACGGGGTTTTGCCATGTTGGCCAGGCTGGTCTCAAACTCCTGAGCTCAAGTGATCTGCCCACCTAGGCCTCTCAACATGCTGGGATTACAGGAGTGAGCCACCGCACCTGGCCCAAATAAGTATTTTTTAAATAATGTTTTAAAATTATTTTTTCCAGAATTATATTGTTTGGATTTCGATATTTTGGGATTTCAGTATTTGGGATTATGGCATCAAGAACTGTGTCTTTTAGGCCAGGCGCAGTGGCTCATGCCTGTAATCCCAGCACTTCGGGAGGCTGAGGTGGGCAGATCACCTGAGGTCGGGAGTTTGAGACCAGCCTGGCCAACGTGGCAAAACCCTGCCAAGGTGGGCAGATCACCTGAGGTCAGGAGTTCAAGACCAGCCTGGGCAACATGGCGAAACTCTGTCTCTACCTGTATTTTTTTTTGTAAAAATACAAAAAAATTAGCCGGGTGTGGTGGCACGCACCTATAATCCCAGCTACTTGGGAGGCTCAGGCAGGAGAATCACTTGAACCCAAGAGACAGAGGTTGCAGTGAGCCGAGCACCACTGCACTCCAGCCTGGGCGACAGAACGAAAGTCCATCTCAAAAAAAAAAAGAAAAAAATAAAAAAAAGAACTGTCTCTTTCAGAATTATGGCCTAAACCCGTCTGAAACAACTATTCAAGAAGTCTTTGGGAGAGCTAACACCTACAAACATAAACTTCGGTAATATTTTATAAAATATTCTTAAAAATCACCTTTATCCACACACAAGACAGTTTTAAAAGCTTTGGAGACTGAGTCCAGCTCTGTCGCCAGGCTGGAGTGCAGTGGCACATCTCGACTCACTGCAACCTCCACCTCCCAGGTTTAAGCGATTCTCCCGCCTCAGCCTCCCAAGTAGCTGGGATTACAGGCACGCACCACCATGCCCAGCTAATTTTTGTATTTTTAGTAGAGACGGGGCTTCACCTTGTTGGCCAGGATGGTCTTAATTTCCTGACCTCATGATCCGCTGCTCACCTCGGCCTCCCAAAATGTTGGGATTACAGGTGTGAGCCACGGTGCCCAGCCTTTAAAAGCTTTTTTAACTGAAACACTAGAGTAACAATCTTGGCATTTTTAAACGTATATAATTATCCCTATATATAAAACTATTTTAACAAAAATAACTATTTTCATACAACCATTTTAACTCTAGAATAAAAATACTGTTATAGTGAGATTTTTTCAAATATTTAATTTAGTAGAGTCAAATGTTTAACAAAAATAAAATATTATGAAGTATATAGTATATATTTTAATAAAAGGCTAATAAACTGAATCAGGTCAATAAGAGAAGCAAAATACTGGTTTATAAAACTAAGGCCTTCAAGTGACAGGGGGCCATAGGAAAAAAACAACAAAACAAAAACTAAGGCTTTATTCATTTATAAGTGGCAAAAGAAAAAATTTCCTATTTCCCTATTCCCTAATGATTTAATGTAAACTAAAGCAAAGAGAATGCATTAGTTCACTCTTCCTTAGAAACCTACACCATCTACTAATTTGCTAATGAAATCAGATACATGAGTTCTACATGATCAGTGTTGTGACTTCACATTAGTAGAGACGCTACTTGAGTTGCACTGTCACTGGGTTCCAGAAAGAGAATTTCCTAACGAATCACTAAGAAAGCTTCTTCAACAGATACAGGACGGGCTAGTATCAAAATATAGAAAAAAAAATAAAGTAGAGATAATGCTTTGTCTGTTGAAAAATATTTATTAAACTTCTCTAAAAGGGATTACATAAATATATTATCTCAACTACTATAATTAGATGTCAATTCCAATTCCTTAGTAATATTTTCAAGATTTACCCCTTAAATATAGGCGTATGAAAAACCAAAAGCATCAACAAAAGTTTTATTTATATAAAAAGATTTATGCTGGAATGTTAAAATCTAATATTTTGATTTTGAAAGCAAGTTGATTTTTTAAAAACCCTGAAAACAGTAGAGTGAACTGGCATTCCTTGAAAAGCTGAACAAAATAAGTTTAGTAAAAACAAGTAATAAATTTATTAATTCAGAAAGGATC